>NC_000004.12:149830471-150133502 GCF_000001405.40 Homo sapiens
ATGGTCTTTTGTCTTCGTTACTCTTGTGCAGAGAGAAGTGATCTTGTCTCTGCATCTTCTATTATAGTTTTGTCAAGTGGTTCCAAAAGTACCTACCTCCCAAATTCTTGGATATTGCTCTTAAGTATTCTTCAAAGTCATTAGACCTTTTATGTTCATAGCCATAAACAGATGGTATTATAATCCATGTAGCCTATATAAATATTAATGACTACATGCTAAGCATCAGATGCAAAATGGGCAATCAGGATTTTTATTTAAATTTAAAGACTCAGAACAGAAATGTTAAGACAGAAACTGCAGACTAAAAACAACAAAAACAGCAACAACTGCAGACTCAAAAAGTAATATGGATAACTAGAATGGTAACATAAATTTCCAAGTATATAAGAATGAATAATGAAATGAAAATAATACTGGAAGAGTTAAAACACAAGTAACTGTTTTGACCAATTAGTAGAATGTAGTATTTAAGAGCAAATTCCCTGAAATTCCAGCCCTACTTGTGAGACACCGGCATACCTCTAAGATATTGTGGGTTCGGTTCCAGGCTACCACAATAAAGCAAATATTGCAATAAAATGAGTCACTCGAACCTTTTGGTTTCTCATAAGTTATGTTTACACTATACTATAGTCTATTAATTTTTAAAGACAATAACATTATGTCTTTAAAATGTACATATCTTAATTTTAAAATACTTTATTGCTAAAGGATGCTAACAATCATCTCAGCCTTCAGTAAGTTTTAATTGTTTTGTTGGTGGAGGATCTAACCTCAATGTTGATGGCAGCAGACTAATCTGGGTAGTGGTTGTTGAAGTGGTTGTTGGGGTGGCTGTGGCAATTTCTTAAAATAAGACAACAAAGTTTGCCCTATCAATGGACTCTTCCTTTCACGAGAGATTTCTCTGTAGCATGTGATACTGTTTAGTAGTATTTTACCCACAGTAGAATTTCTTTCACAATTGGAGTCTATCCTCTAAAACTTCCAGTGCTTTATCAAATAAATTTAGGCAATATTCTAAATCCTTTATTGTCACTTCAACAATGTTCACAGCATCTTCACCAGGAATAGATTCCATCTCAAGAAACCATTTTCTTTGCTCATCCAAAATAAGCAACACCTTGTCCATTCAAGTTTTATCCTAAGATTGCAGCAATTCAGTGATATCTTCAAGCTCCACTTCTAATTCTAGTTCTCTTACTATTTTCACTCCATCTGCAGTGAGTTTTTCCACTAAAATCTTGAACCCCCTTCAAGTTATCCATCAGTGTTAAAATAAACTTTGTCCAAATTCCTGTAACTATTGATATTTTGATCTCCTCCCATGAATCATGAGTGTTCTTAATGGCATATAGATGATGAATCATCTCCAGAAGGTTTTCAATTTACTTTTCCCAGACTCAAATTACTATCTATGGCAGCTATAGCCTTACAAAATGTATTTCTTAAATGACAGAACTTGAAAGCCAAATGACTCTTTGATCCAAGGGCTGTAGAATGGATGTTGTGTTAGCAGGCATGAAAACAACATGATTCTCCTTGTACATCTCCATTAGAGCTCTGGGTGATGAGGTGCATTGTCAATGAACAGTAATATTTTGAAGGCAATCTTTTTTTCTGAGCAGTGGATCTTAACAGTAGGCTTATTCAGTAAACCATGCTATAAACAGATGTGCTGTCATCCAGGCTTTGTTGTTCCATTTACAGAGCACAGGCAGAGTAGATTTTCCATTATTCTTAAGGGCCCTAGAATTTTAAGAATGGTAAATGAGCACTGGCTTCAATTTGAAGTCACCAGCTGCATTAGCCCCTAACAGGAATCAGTGTGTCCTTTGAAGCCAGGAATTGACTACTTCTCTCTAGCTAGGAAAATCCTAGATAGCATCTTCTATTAGAAAGCTGTTTCATCTACACTAAAAATCTGATTTAGTGTGGCCACCTTCAACAGTGATCTTAGCTAGATCTTCTGGATAACTTGGCTGCAGCTTTTCCATGAGCACTTGTTGCTTCACCTTATATTTTTGTGTTATAAAGATGTCTCCTTTCCTTAAACCTCGTGAACCAACATCTGCTAGCTTCCAACTTTTTTCCTTCAGCTTTATCACCTCTCTTAGCCCTTATAGAATTGAAGAGAGTTAGGACCTTGCTCTAGATAGGACTTGGGGCCTAAGAGAATGCTGTGGCTGGTTTGGTCTTCTATCCAGACCACTCAAACTTTCAACATATAAGCAATAAGGCTCTTTTGCTTTCTTATCATTTATGTGTTCACTGCAGTAACATTTTTAATTTCCTTCAAGAACTTTTCCTTTGCATTCACAATTTGACTATTTGGTGCAAAAAACCTAGCTTTTGGCCTATCTCAGCTTTCCACATGCCTTCCTCACTAAGCTTAATCATTTATAGCTCTTGATTTTAACAGGCTTGTAACTCTTCCTTTCACTTGAACATTCAGAGGCCATTATAAGGTTATTAATTGATCTAATTTCAATATTGTTGTGTCACAGCAAATACAGAGGCCCAAGCAGAGGGAGAGAGACAGGGAACAGCTGGTCAGTGGAGCAGTCAGAACACACACAACATTTATTAAGTTTGCTGTATTAAAAGGATGCAGTTAATGGCACCTCAAAACAATTACAATAGTAACATCAGAGATCACTGATCACAGATCCCCATAACAGATATAATAATAAAAAGTTTGAAATATTGTGAAAATTACCAAAATGTGACACAGAGACACAAAATGAGCACCCACTGACGGAAAAATCGTGTCAATAGACTTTCTCAATGCAGGGTTGCCACAGACCTTCAATTTATAAAAAACGCAGTATCTGCAAAGTGTAATCAAGCAAAGCGCAATTGAAGTATGCCTGTATGTGAGTAAACTTCGTTTCTGTATATTTTTATTTCCTTCCCTGTAAAACAGGGTTTTCAAAATACTTGCCTTATATACTGTAACAAATGAGTCCATATAATGTACGTATGCAGTGCCTGACACAGAACATCCAAATAATATACTTTGACTGTTATCCAGAAAAATGATCTATTAATAGAAATTAGAGTCTAGACCAGGGGTTGGCAAAATATAGCCAGGCCCACAAGCCAAATGCAGCGGGCCACTGCTTTTGTAAGTAGTTGTCTTGGAAACCAGCCACGCCTCATTCATTTACATATTGCCTATGGCTGCTTTCACCCTATGATATGGTCTAGCTCTGTGTCTCCATCCAAATCTCATCTTGAGTTGCAATCAGAATTGTAATCCTCACGTGTTGGAGGATGGACCTTGTGGCAGGTGACTGGATCACAGAGGCAGTTCCCCTGTGCTGTCCTCATGATAGTGAGTTCTCACAAGATCTGATAGTTTTATAAGGGGTTCTTCCCCCTTCACTCTGCACTTCTCTCTCCTGCCACCTTGTGAAGAAGGTGCCTGCTTCCCTTTCCACTATGATTGTAAGTTTCCTGAGCCCTCCCCCGCCACGAGGAACTGTGAATCAATTAAACCTCTTTCCTTTATAAATTACCCAGTCTCAGGCAGTTCTTTATAGCAGTATGAGAATGGACTAATACACCCTACAACAACAAAGTTAAGTCCTTGTGACATAAACCATATGGACGGCAAAGTCTAAAATACTTGCTACCTACAACTTCACTGTTTCTAAGGATCTGTTGCCCTGAATAAACATACTAACAATTATCAAGAAGCAGAGCACGAGTATCCTCTGCTTACACATGAGCAAAGCTTTCTGGGAGCTCTTCACCTGAAAGGTTTTATTCCAAAATCACATGGAAGGAATCGGTGAGGGAGAAAGAATAAGCACATCCTGCAAGGACAAAGAAAAGAAAATATTCTTCAGACGCTGGGTTCTTACAGTTGAAAGCCACTGTCATGGCTGCTGTCTCTTCTAGGGATTTAATAGAGAACCATTTGGAAAGGAGTCTTGAGAGACTTCACAGAGTTGTGGTTAAGAACATAAACACTGGGGTTAGGTCTCTTGGATTCAATCCTGGCACTGCCCTTGTCTATCTGTGTGACCTTGGCAAATTAATTTCTCTGAATCTTAGTTTTCCAGTCTACGAAATGGATCCAAATAATAGCATCTATCTTATGGGATAGTAAGGATTAAATAATTTACTAAAAGCATCTCGTACTTAATACCAGTAATCTGTTCCCGAAAATTGAATGTGTATGCACAAATGCTCACCAACCTATATTATTCCAAATTAGAAAAATCCACAGTCGACTTCCTAAATAGAAACTGAAGCAGTAACACTGTGCCTATTTATAACTAACAGAGAATCGTTTGGGGATTAAAATGTTCAAAACGTCTCTTTCTGATCACTAAACATCATTAATATGCTTGTTTAAAAACTTTCTATGAAGTAACATCTTTTCCACTTGTTTTTCTCAGTGGCTTTGCCATTTCACTATCATCTTGTCTATTTTTTTCAATATTTTCTTATTACACAGTTTTAGGCAAAACAAGGCCTAAATACAAAGGCATTGTAGAAACAGTTCAGGACCAGCACACAATGACAGAGTGGGGGTCACACTGAGTACGATGCAGTGACGCCCCAGCTGGAGCCAGCAGCATTCAAAATGCCCAAGATTGTGGCTTTCCGAAAAGTCTACACGGTATTCTGATCTTCTGTCACTCTGAAATAACTCCAGACTTTTTACTGTACATCCTTTTATTTAAAAACGTTGCATTGAGTTTGCGGAATGTACACACATATTTTCCCCATATAAGCATTGCCTGAAAGGTACATACAATCTATGAAGTATAAGTATTAAAAAAAAAAAAAGTCCCCAAGTTGCACCCCAACCCTTGCCCAAGCCCCTCCTGCTGCCCCAAGGCGACTCACCTGTGCTTCTGCCTCAGTCGGACTCAGCTCCTGAAGCACTTTGTGCCTCCTCAGCGTGCTGCACCTCCACCCACTCCACCCGCCTCATCAAGCCCCAGCCCGCGCCCTGCCCCGCCCGTCACCCTCCCAGCACCCCTCCCGCCTTCCTCCCGCCCACTGCCGACTCCTCAGCTACCTGGGGCCACTTCCCTGTGGTGGCCTCAGACTTGTCAGCGATCCAGAGACCTCAGCCGCCTATCCACTTAGCAAACCTCCTGCAGGCTCAAGACAGCGCCCTCAAGGTACAAACGAGTGTTTCTCACAGTGCCTTTGAAGGGGTTCATAGCTACAGAGAAAAACAATGGCCGTCACATAGCCTCAGACTTAGCTATTGTTCATGGGCAGAGATCTTCACCAGCTTCAGAAGTAGACTGGTTAGCTCTAAGGCCTTTGTAGGCCTGTGGCCTCTTACTGTGGTGGCCCAGGACTACCAGAAAATGGACGCGAGGAATCCAGGTAACTGCGAAAGATAGGAAGCAAGAGATCTGTTGGTCACCTCAGCGTCAGGGCCCCATCGCTGGCTTCCCCCTTTTGGCTTCACACTGGAGGGCTGCCGCGCCACTCTGAACTCCCATGGTACGATTGGAGTTGCTGCCTACTTGGGGGCATGCAGGGCTTAGGGCTGGGATATGCTAAACCTCCCTAAATGCCAGATGCCCACTTGGAGAGGAGAAAATAGGAAAGGCTAGGAATTTATCTCACATTCTGTTGCTGCAAGGGTCACTTACCTTTTGTCATTTTTTTAAAGCATTCCCAAATAGGAAGTGATGTAAAACAAAAATTTCTTTTCATTCACAAAGAACTTTCATTTGGGAAATATTTATGGTACTGAAAATTTTAATTTAACACAAAATGACTTTGGCTGTTACTATAAAAATAAATGCTGATCCAAAGATTCTCAAATTTTCACAGCACCCTGAATGCCTGAGTAATCTTTTCACAGCACCTCTAGGCCCAAAGAAATACATAACCATCCTATGTATTAAGTAGTTAAGTCTAAACAACCAATACATATTTATATACTAATAGCTTAGTAGCCTTTGAAAAAATAATAGAGAAAATATTTTTATCTCATTCTCAACAGCAATTATTCATAAGACGTGTGAGCCTTTGGGACACACAAAATTCGCAAATCTTGGCATCAGGCTACATGCCACCCTCATTTTCTGTTCCACACTGATTTTATGTGGTAGTCATTTTATTCTCAAAGCAACCACCAAAAAACCAACTTTGCAAAGATATGGCATCACTGAAAGGAATGTAGCACTATCATTCACAATATTCAAACTGTGAACTACCTCAAGCTAGTAGCCCATGTAATTCCTGACAGATGTGAAGTATTGCCCTCTTTCCTTGAATATTTGAAATATCGTGCAATGACCTTGTGAGTTCATTCCAGTGACTCAGTGTCTCAGCACACAGTTTGAGAACCATGGGTTTAAACTATATGCAATGAAATTTAACTTCCTGAGGTCAGGAGTTCAGGACCAGACTGGCTAACATGGCGAAACCCTGTTTCTACTGAAAATACAGAAATTAGCCGGGCATGTTGGTGCATGCCTGTAATCCCAGGTACTCGGGAGGCTGAGGCAAGAGAATTGCTTGAACCTGGGAGGCAGAGGTTGCAGTGAGCCGAGATCACACCACTGCACTCCAGCCTGGGCGACAGAGTGAGACACCATCAAAAAAAAGAAAGAAAGAGAGAGAGAAGAGAGAGAGAGAGAGAGAGAGAGAGAGAGAAGAGAGAGAGAGAGAAAGAGAGAAGGAAAGGAAAGGAAAGAAAGAAAATAACTTGAAACTGTGAATTAATTTATGGAACAGGAGTGTGTGTGTGCATGAGAGTGTTTGCAGGACATACACATTTACATCTTTTGGGTTCCATGTTGATTATGGGTATAATGCTTACACCCTCACATTAAGCTGATGCTCTCAGAGTAAAAGGTCCATCACTCAACTACAATACACACTGATCATAAAACACTGTTTCTCCATATCATTTGTAAATCTAGGGTATTTTTTTCTCCTCCAGGCAGGCACATTTTTCTACTTCCAGGATTCATTATCTAACTCTCTCATTTACTTGAGGAGAAGAATACCAAGGAAAGATATTATTAATTACTAGATACAGGATTACTTCTTGCACATCGAGGAAAGATATGTGGGATTGTTTTGACATTTGTGCCAATCAATCTGAATTATTAAATTAAAACAATGTTATGATGTCAAAGCTAATTTTAGAATTGTTACAGATTTTTTAGAGAATCATGAAAGTAGAATAAATATATTTATTAATTCAGAATTGCATATATTCCTGATTCATGTGCAATTAAATGAATTTGAAAGTCCTGTGCATAAAAAGGAAAGATTGTGTTTATTCTAAATTATAGTTCAGAGGATAGTGTGCAATAGGCTCTTCATGTTGTGATCATTCACATACTCAAAAATAATACATTAATCCTTTTGCACAACACCAAGTATGCTTAAGTTCAACATATATACTTTATGAATGGATCATTTGTAGCAAATACAAAGCTAAGTCATAAGTAATTCGAAGAGAGTCTAAGTTTCTTGTCTGAGTTGATCCAATCACAACTGCCTTTTAATGAATAAGACTTTACACAACTGTGCTAAAAGGTTTATATTTTTCTTATAGCTTCAAATTATCTTTTGAAGGATTTGTTGAAGTAACAAATAGATTTTATATTTATAATATCACTTGAACATGATTTCTTAATTACTCTCCAATATTACTCTAGCTCACTGGTACTAATTATTTGAACAAGTAAATACAGGCATACCTCCAGCAATATTACAGGTTCAGCTCCATACTACCACAATAAGGCAAATATCACAATAAAATGAGTCACACAAATTTTGTGGTTTCTCAGTGAATATAAAAGTTTTGTTATATTATACTGTACTATTATATTAATGTTATATTATACTGCAGTATATTAATTGTGCAGCAGCATTATGTCTAAAAACAAGGTACATACCTCAATTTTAAAATACTTTTTTGCTAAAAGATGCTAACGTCATCTCAGCCTTCAGTGAGTTGTAATCGTTTTGCTAGTGGAGGATCTTGCCTCAATGTTGATGGCTGCTGACTGATCTGGGTAGTGGTTGCTAAAGACTGGGGTGGGTGTGACAATTTTTTAAAATAAGATGGCAATGAAGTTTGCCCCATTAATGGACTCTTCCTTTCACAAAAGATTTCTCTGTGGCTTGTGATACTGTTTAGTAGCATTTTCCTCCAGTAGAACTTCTTTCACAATTGGAGTCAATCCTCTCAAAACTGCCACTGCTTTATCAACTAAGTTTATGTAATATTCTAAATCCTTTATTGTCATTTCAGCAATGTTCATAGTATCTTCACCAGGAATAGATTCCATCTTGAGAAACCACTTTCTTCACTTATGCAAAAGAAGCAACACCTCATCCATTCAAGTTTTTTTCTGGGATTGCAGAAATCAGTCAGGGTCCACTTCTAATTCTAGTTGTCTTGGTATTTCCACCCCATCTGCAGTGACTTTTTCCACTGAAATCTTGAACCCCCTCCAAGTCATCCATGAAGGTTAAAATTATCTTCTTCCTATCTCTTGTTACTGTTGCTATTTTTACCCCCTCCCATGAATAATAAATGTTTATAATGGCATATAGAATAGTAAATCCTCTCTAGAAGGCTTTCAATTTACTTTGTCCATATCCATCAGAGGAATTGCTATCTATGTCATTTATAATCTTATGAAATGTATTTCTTAAATAATAAGACCTGGAAGTCAAAATGAGTCCTTGATCCATGGGCTGCAGAATGAATGTTGTGTTAACAGGCATGAAAACAACATGAATTTCCTAGTATACCTCCACCAGAGCTCTGAGTGACTAGGTGCATTGTCAATGAGCAGTAGTATTTTGAAAGGAACCTTTTTCTTAGCAGTGTATCTCAATGGTGAATTTAAGATATTTAGTAAACCATGCTATAAACAGATGTGCTGTCAATCCAGGCTTTTTTGTACCATTGATAGAGCAACAGGCAAAATAGATTTCCCATTATTCTTAAGGGCCCTATAATTTTAAGAATGGTAAATGAGCATTCACTTCAACTTGAAGTCACCAACTGCATTAGCTTCCAACAGGAAAGTCAGCCTGTCCTTTGAAGCTTTGAAGCCAAAGAATTGACTTCTCCTCTCAAAATAGGAAAGTCCTAGATGACATCTTTCAATGCTATTTTATCTACATTGAAAATTTGTTGTTTAATGTAGCCACTTTCATCAATTATTTTGGCTAGATCTTCTGGATAACTTGCTGCAGCTTCTCCATCAGCACTTGCTGCTTCACCTTGCACTTTTCTGTCATGAAGATGTCTTCTTTCCTTAAACCTCATGATCCAAACTCTGCTAGCTTCCAACTTTTTTTCTTCAGCTTTATCACCTCTCTCAGCTCTCATAGAATTTAAGAGAGTTAGGACCTTGCTCTGTATTAGGCTTTAGCCTATGAGAATGTTCTGACTGTTCTGATCTTCTATCCAGACCACTCAAACTTTCTCCATATCAGCAATCAGGCTATATTGCTTTCTTATTATTCATGTTTTCACGGAGTTTCACTTTTAATTTCCTTCAAGAACTTTTCCTTTACATTCACAGCTTGGTTATTTGGTATAAGAGACCGAACTTTTGGGCTATCCAGCTTTTGACATGCTCTCCTCACTAAGCTGAATCTTTTCTAGCTTTAGATTTAGTTAGAGATATGTGACTCTTTCACTTGAATACTTGGAGGCCATCATTGGGTTATTAATTGGCTTAATTTCAATATTATTGTGTTTCAGGAGATAGAGAGGCCCAAGAAGATATAGAAAGACAGGTGAATGGTCAGTGAGTGGAACAATCAGAACACACACGTTTAGCCATTAAGTTCACTATCTTGTATTGGTGCAGTTTATGGTGCCCTAAACAATTACAATAGTAATATCAAAGACCATCAATCACAGATCACCATAACAGGTATAATAATTACAATGAAATTTGAAACATTGTGAGAATTACCAAAATGTGATACAGAGCCACAATTACTAACATGTGATGCAGAGACACAAAGTTAGCATATGTTGGAAAAATTGTGTCAATAGACTTGCTGGACACAGGGCTGCCACAAACCTTCAATTTGTGAAAAACTCATTATTTGGGAAGCAGAATAAAGTGAAGCACAATAAAACATTATGTGCATATAATCCAATTATGTAATGATCATTTTTCTATGTTTAGAAAAATAGGCAAGATTTTATTTGTCCTACTGTATGTAGTTATGAAATTGAACATCAGTATAATCTATATTTGTAAGCATTTTATAGAAGATAAGCCAAATAATTTTTCTAATATGAGTCTCCTGACTGTAACCTCCTTTAAACCTGTTCAGATTTTGTTTTGGGCCCTTATTTTTGCCTCCATAGCTGCCTGCATGTTGAGCTTTCTGTCTCACACTGGTCAGGAACAAAAGGCCCCTCAGAGAGTCTGTACTATTAAAGAATTGAAATGTATTCAACTCAATATATTTTATTTCTAACATTCAAAATCAGAACTTCAAAATGAAATTGGAAGATTCTATAAGAACATTCTTTCTTAAATAAAATGAAATATATATGTGTATATATATACACATACACACACACACACACACACACACACACACACACGATTAAAAAGAAAGAAGAGGTGATCTGCCTGAATAATGCTTACCAAGGAGACTTTCTTCAAGGTATAGCCAAATATGTAAAGTTCTTAGAACAGTGTCTAGCATGTACTAAAAAGCACTATGTTTGTGTTAATTATCACTAACAAAATAATAATTATTTTTATTATTATCACTGGCTGAGGTCTGCCTCCCTTCAATGTATGAAAGGCTGAGATGACAAGAATTAGGAGGAATGGAAAATGCCTTGGATAATTTCAAAATTAATTTTTCTGTTATACAGATAATAGTGGAAGGAAGATAGAACAATCCAGGAAATAAAGTTTTTTCCCTATATACTTTCCCTCTGAAAACATCATTATATTCCTTTATAAAGATTACTGTCTCCTCTAACAATTATTTTGTAGAGGCTGAGGAAGAGCACAATCATTCCATTGATATACCTGTGTACTTTTTCATAGGTGGGATCCAAGAAACAGTCTCACCAGGAAACCCAACTTTTTTGTATGGCATTCCTGGCACCCCAGAAATAGCATGAGATGGGAAACAAATCCATATATTGCCCTGTTCCTTCCCACAATCTTCCCACTGTAACCCCATCTAAAATATACCACTCATTCCAAGGTCCCCTTCAAAATAAGAGTCTACATCTGGATTGGTCTTAGCTTCTTTTCCTGCAGGTCAGAGGTCCTTCACATACCTTCAGGATCAAAGAGTACTGAATAAGTGCTGCAAAACTATGCAGGCTAACATTCCAGTGTGAAATGTCAGTAGCCCCATCTTCATTCCCTGTATTACTGCCTCACTGTCTTCTCTCTTTCCCATGCAATCAGGAGAACTGCTCAGCAAATCTTACTTAGATGAAGCCATTCTCCAGGTCTTATCAACAACGATCAGAAATAGTTGGCAAGAATTCTTTTAGTGGCTCCCTTTGATTTGTTCTGTCTTGGTTTTGACAATGTATTTAGTGGTGGTCAGTGATTAAAAAAAAAAAAAAACATTAAACTACTGTACTGGGAAGGCCTAAAAACCACAGTGCTGTTAGTCTTTTTATAGCTCTTAGCGAAACATTTGTACTGCTGAAAAGTAATTTGCTTCTGTATTCCTGTGAGAAACAGTAATGTCTAACCCAGTGGTTCTCAAACATTGTAGCCTCAAGAACACTCTATACGCTTAAAAATTATTGCATGCCCCATATATTTTTGTTTATATGGGTTATATATATGTTGATATTTATCATATTAGAAGTTAAAACAGAATTTTTGAAACAAATTAATATACAAGAGCAATAAAACTATCATTGTACACTTAAGAAACGCTACTGGGAGCATCAGGAGTGCTATCATACCTCATATGAACCTCATATGAATCTTTTGGGTTGGTTGTCTTTTTAAAAATCCACAGTGCTGTGGTTTGAATATGTTTCCCAAAGTTTATTTATTGAAAATTTAATTGCCATTATAACAGTATTAAGAGGTAGGGCCTTTAAGATGTGTTTAGGCCATAAGGACTCTACCCTTGTGAAGGGATTAATGCCATTATTGTGAAGTGGGTTAATTATCTTGGGAGTGGTTTCCCGATTAAAAAAAGGATGAGTTTGACCTGATTTCCTCTGTATCACATGCTCCTTTCTCCCTTCTGCCTTCCACTGTGGGATGACAGCACCATGCTCTTGGACTTCCCAGCCTCCAGAACTGTGGGCCAAATAAACTTATGTTCTTTATAAATGACCCAATCTGTGGTATCCTGTTATAGCAGCAAAAAATGGAATAAGACACAAATTAATAAATAGAAACATTAAAAATCACTTTCATATATTATCTTTTTCTTATAAAGAGGAAAAATTATGAGGAAATGAATATGTTGGAAAAATTCAAAAAATGTTGCAAACTTGTTAACTTCCCATGTGAAGTTTCTTCCCATGAGCTTGAAGGCCTGCTCTAAATCTCTCTAAATCAAGCTTTACCTCAATTCACTAATATCCACCACACCAGATCTAATCTCTGAAAATCCTCCTCCATATTCCATGTACTAATCCTCCAATAAAGACATTGACATTGTCCCAAGTTTAAGCCTGCTCCTAATATTTACAGGCCCTATGGTAAGAATATATCAGGAAACTCTAGTTCTATGCTCTAACCCCCTTCTCCTCCCAGTCACAGCTTTTTCTTGCAATGTATGGGGCCTCAAAACATGTGTATATGTACACTCTAACCCAAGAGCCAACCTTTATCCACACCTCCACCACTTGAGCCTAAGGGAGCATGATCTGTACTTAGGAGGACACCCAGGGAGCAGAGGCCCATGCTGGTTCTGGAAGCATGCTTGGCCCATTTGGACAAGAAGCTCCAGGTTAACAGACAATAAGCATTGTCTGGAGTATAGGACACAGGCTCTGGGCAGGCACATGCCCTAGCCCAGCAGTCTCCATACCCTCTAGGGAGGGTATAGAGAGGAGGGCCAGAGAAAAGCCCCTCAAAATCTGGTTGCCCAGCTTTAAGGATAATTCTGAGTAAAAGCAATAAATCTCATTCTATGAGTGAGGCAGTGGTTGTAGATATATATTGCACAATTATTACAAAAATCCATGTAGAGATTCAGAATTAACTAAAGCACCCTTAAGGCCCCATTTACTTTTAAAGACCAGATTTTTGTAATTTCATTTCCCTTTCCCAACAAACTAATTACTGAAAACTAGTTTCTCTCATAATTTCCTTCAGTTTTTCTGGAACTCCCCAAAAAATCAATTTTTTATAGGACTCACCATTCTGTCTTCAACTGTTCTATGTTCACCTCTCACAAAACCACCAAGAGAGGCTCCACTCTACACTATCCATCACTGAAACTCCAAGGTCCAAATCAAGGGTCCTAACTACAGAGACTCCTAATACTTCCAGTCTTTGCAACAAATATCAGACTTGTTTCTAAGCTCCATGTGGAAGAGAAGAGAATGACAACCTGTTCAACTCTATGTCACGTTTTGTCACCCAAGTTCCCAAAAAGTTCTATTTCCATCCACTTAAACCTTCATTGTTGGTAGCTCTCCTGAATAGCCTGGCTTGGATTTGGAGAAAACCTACAGATCCTTCTTTGCAGCAGGAGAGGAAAAATGTGAATATTTTCAATATAGTAAAATAGAATGAAACAGATAAATTTGCTTCCAACCATAAAATGACATACAACTTACTAACCCCAATCTCAGTCACTTTGGGGTGAATCTCTGATTTAGATTATCCAAGACCATTCTCCTCCCATATTTACAATAATAAAATCATTAATTAGAAACAAATATAATAAAGTTTCCTGAATCTCCTTTACACTAGACTGAATGCTCTATATAAGATGATCATTGATAGTTAGTACATTGGGATTGATATGATAATTAGAACTTAGAGCCACTTCACATAATGTGTGTCTGGGAAGAACAGTAATCAACAGTGAATCACTAGTACTGAATCAGAGAAAACTAAATTATAACACTGCTTAATTTTTAGTGCTTTGATAGGGCCAAACCTTCTACAGTATCATTTATGATGAAATGACAAATAGGTTACAGCAGTTGATTATCTCCTAATAGATGGCAGCTCCTCTTTTTATAAAAGTCAAGTCATCATATAGAGAACTGGACACCTGCAAATTCCAGAAAAGTCCTAGATATAAACATCTTGGATCTACTTCTTTTATCTGAACTTGTGGAGCCCTTAAAAAAAAGGTTAAAATGATTGTGAAAAAATTGAACATTTCTGTTAAGCTGTACATACAATTTGCCTGTAACTGAGTGAACATCAAAAAAATTACATCTCTCAGCAGTGACAAAACAACAAAAATGAAGGAAAGATGAACAAGCAGCATATTTTTAAAAGTCAGATAAAAACTCTTTTAGCCTGCCTTCTTTTGGATGTAGTAAAATCACTGTTTTATGAGAAATAAAATCTAAAGCAAAAACTGTTGATTCTATAAAACATGCTGTGTGGGAAAACAGGTGCTTAATGCGCTTTGCAACAGAAAAAAAAATTCTTGTATTTACTCATGTGTTGAGGGACATATGTTGTCTTGGTCTGGATATTGTCATTGTTATTTTTGTATCACTTTTAATACATTGAACTGAACAATAAGAAATAACATCTATATATCATCTAACAACTAAATCTTTGCATTTAAAAATAATTAAGTTTGTTAAAAAGCAGATTTTTGTGAACTATTTTATAATTCTTAAAATAAAAGCAATGAGTCTACTCAGTGTACCCCTCATTTTTACAGTTTTCTTATACAACCAACTCCACAGGGGAAAATATTAAATTGTTCTCATTCATTTCAGTATTTTGCTAAGGTTTTATTTTACCCACTTAAAAATTCTCTTTCATGTTAGATTTTTATTTTTTCTCTAATATATTTGAAAAAGTTCTTTATTTGTTTTTAGCCAGCACACAACATACTTTAAATTTTGATTACTAATAACAAACTTTGTATATATATATATATAAATATATATATATATATAATTGAATGTGGAACATAACAAATTCTGAACCTGTGGCAACTACATTGAGGTAGGGTTGCAATGTTTTCTTAGTACCCCCATTACTGGATGGATAGTCTTGAGTGTGAGTTGTCCAGATACTTGGTGTGTTGAACAATGAATTGAACAAAACACACAAAGCAACAAAATAAAGAAGCAATGAAAGCACAGGTTTATTGAAATGAAAGTACTCTCCACAGTGTGGGAGCAGGCTTGAGCAAACAGCTCAAGAGTCCCAATTACAATGTTCTGCAGGGTTTTTATTAAGCTAAGAGAATTTTTTAACACCCCAAAGTACTCTTTAGATGTCTCCAATTGGTTACACCCTATGTAAATGAAGAATTGGCCCATGGCCAGTTAGAGGCTAAAGCAAAGGCTTGGCCCACAGCCACTCAGGCTGATGTGAATTGGCACCTTATTACAAATGAAGGATTGGCCCATGGCCAATCAGAGGGACTTTTCATCTGTGACCCAGTGGAGTACAGGGAGTGGCCTCTAGTCCCTTGTCACTTGGGCATAGAGAGGTGGGATTTTCCTTTTAATCCAGTTCCAGAAATTCAGCGCAAACTGGTCTTTGGTTCCCTGTGTCCAAAACCTCTTCTCCTGCCTCACTCCCTCATCAACGCTAAAAGATAATTTCTGAAGATAATTACATGACTAGAGGAGATATTAATGAGATATCCCAAATGTATGGCTGCATCACTATGGACCTATTAAGTCCATAGTTTATTTTCTACTTCTTGATAAGATTAAGAAAAAAAATAGACACTTTATGTGGGTCTAATTTCTAATACTGAAACAATGGGGCACAGGAAATAGAACTTGGGAGATATACTTTCCAAAACAGTTAATCCTAAAGAAATGTTGAATCACCTCTTTCCTTTAATAAGTTTCCAAGAGAGTTCCATTAAAAATAAGAGTAGAAAAAATTGTCTAGGCTGCTTCCTTATTATACACCTATGTCTTCTCTACCAAGGAGATATCCCCAGATCCTAAATGCTTTTCACATCTATTCCCATATTTTTTCACAGAGGACCAGGAATTTGACTGAGGACTCTAAATAACTCCCATGATGAATGGCTTGATATAGACATATTTTATAATACCAGTTTTTTTCAGATATTTATTAGAATCAGACCAAAAAATATATAAACCAGCAAACTTTGAATTACTCCATAGTCCTGTAGCTACTCCAGTACTTGCCCAGTAACAGAGTCATGCAGATCGGTGTAAGTTTCCAAAACTTTGCAGCTAAGTCTTTAAATCAATAGCACTCAAGGCAGGCAAAATCTAGCCTCAGGAGATAAAAGTCAGAGAACTCCAAGCTTTAAAACAGAAGAATAAAGGCATTAGTGATTCTGTCTCCCTCTGAAACTATCTGAAAACAACAAGGAGAATAAGAAACAGAAATAGATTGGACAAACCACAGTATATTTGAAGGAGAGTTTGCAGTAAAAATTGGACCTGTATACAAAATGATGCTGAGAAAGAACACATAAACCTATGTGAGAATACCGAAAGAAAAAGAAGGAAAGAAACATGGACAAATAGCAGGCAGACAAAGAATGCACTCCAGAAAAATTTTCCCATGGAACAGGTGATCATCCAGCTAAACCATTCTTTAGAAAATTTCAGTAGCAAAAATGACATCTATGAAATAAAAGTTTAAAGCATAGATAGAAGGAGTCGAGAAAGAAATAAGAAGACCAAAGGAGTTTTATGGGTTTTCTTAATAGTCTGAAAAACCCAGGAAACAAATAAAAAAGAAAAAGTCATCATACAATTTAGAGCCACAGGACATAAACACCTATTATAAAGCAAATTAATTAAAATGGATTGACAATGGGAAAGTATGGATAGTCCAGAAATAGGCCCATATACATCAATTACTTATTGTTTAGAAACTGACATTTCAAATTAGTAGGAAAAATAGATTATTCAATAAATGGTATTAGAAAAACTGGCTAGCCATCTGGTTAAAAAATGCTATATCCCTAACTCACTCCTTATAATAAAATATACTGCATCATAATAGATCAAATGTTCAAACATAAAAGTAAAGTAAAAATTTACCAGAAAAAAATATTCTTAAATAACTTCAAAGGAAGTTAGGGTATAAACCCATGACCCTTACTTCATTAAACAAAATGTTAAAATTTCAACATAACAAAAATAATTTACAAGCCATACAAGTCAAACAACAAGTAACCAAATAGAAACTTGCAACTAAATGTGAAAGCTAATAGGATATTTTCCTTAATATATAAGAAGCTCTTAAAGATCATTTAGAAAAATTATCAACAATCCACTAAGAAAAAAACAGTCATAACTAGGTAGGCATGTCCTGCTGTGCACCAGAACTGGGATTCAGTGCTAAGATCCCCTCATTCTAGGAAATGGGGGAGGCCAGAAAGGTGGCCACTCCCTCGCCCATTCCACAATGCATGTTCATGGGGATGCTGGTTCTAAACCATTCTAAATGACCTGCTTCTGCATGGGTGTTTTCTACGTAGTGCAGCAGCTCCCTCACTGTAGTTTACTGAAAGTCAACCCTGGACACAAGAGGTTTTTTTTTTTTTTTTTTTTTAAGTTATGTATAGATAGTTCATTTAAAAAGAAATATAGGGGGAGGAGCCAAGATGGCCGAATAGGAACAGCTCCGGTCTACAGCTCCCAGTGTGAGTGACGCAGAAGAGGGGTGATTTCTGCATTTCCATCTGAGGTACCGGGTTCATCTCACTAGGGAGTGCCAGACAGTGGGCGCAGGTCAGTGGGTGCGCGCACCGTGCGCGAGCTGAAACAGGACCAGGCATTGCCTCACTCGGGAAGCACAAGGGGTCAGGGAGTTCCCTTTCCTAGTCAAAGAAAGTGGTGACAGACGGCACCTGGAAAATCAGGTCACTCCCACCCAAATACTGCACTTTACCAACAGGCTTAAAAAACGGCGCACCACGAGATTATATCCCACACCTGGCTCGGAGGGTCCTATGCCCACAGAGTCTCGCTGATTGCTAGCACAGCAGTCTGAGATCAAACTGCAAGGCCGCAGCAAGGCTGGGGGAGGGGCGCCCGCCATTGCCCAGGCTTGCTTAGGTAAACAAAGCAGCCAGGAAGCTCGAACTGGGTGGAGCCCACCACAGCTCAAGGAGGCCTGCCTGCCTCTGTAGGCTCCACCTCTGGGGGCAGGGCACAGACAAACAAAAAGACAGCAGTAACCTCTGCAGACTTAAATGTCCCTGTCTGACAGCTTTGAAGAGAGCAGTGGTTCTCCCAGCACGCAGCTGGAGATCTGAGAACGGGCACACTGCCTCCTCAAGTGGGTCCCTGACCCCTGACCCCCGAGCAGTCTAACTGGGAGGCACCGCCCAACAGGGGCAGACTGACACCTCACATGGCCAGGTACTCCCACAGACCTGCAGCTAACGGTATTGTCTGTGAGAAGGAAAACTAACAAACAGAAAGGACATCCACACCAAAAACCCATCTGTACATCACCATCATCAAAGACCAAAAGTAGATAAAACCACAAAGATGGGAAAAAAAACAGAGCAGAAAAAATGGAAACTCTAAAAAGCAGAGTGCCTCTCCTCCTCCAAAGGAACGCAGTTCCTCACCAGCAACGGAACAAAGCTGGACGGAGAATGACTTTGACGAGCTGAGAGAAGAAGGCTTCAGACGATCAAATTACTCTGAGCTACGGGAGGAAATTCAAACGAAAGGCAAACAAGTTGAAAACTTTGAAAAAAATTTAGAAGAATGTATAACTAGAAAAACCAATACAGAGAAGTGCTTAAAGGAGCTGATGGAGCTGAAAACCAAGGCTCGAGAACTACATGAAGAATGCAGGAGCCTCAGGAGCCGATGCGATCAACTGGAAGAAAGGGTATCAGCAATGGAAGATGAAATGAATGAAATGAAGTGAGAAGGGAAGTTTAGAGAAAAAAGAATAAAAAGAAATGAGCAAAGCCTCCAAGAAATATGGGACTATGTGAAAAGACCAAATCTACGTCTGATTGGTGTACCAGAAAGTGATGGGGAGAATGGAACCAAGTTGGAAAACACTCTGCAGGATATTATCCAGGAGAACTTCCCCAATCTAGCAAGGCAGGCCAATGTTCAGATTCAGGAAATACAGAGAATGCCACAAAGATACTCCTCGAGAAGAGCAACTCCAAGACACATAATTGTCAGATTCACCAAAGTTGAAATGAAGGAAAAAATGTTAAGGGCAGCCAGAGAGAAAGGTCGGGTTACCCTCAAAGGGAAGCCCATCAGACTAACAGCAGGTCTCTCGGCAGAAACCCTACAAGCCAGAAGAGAGTGGGGGTCAATATTCAACATTCTTAAATAAAAGAATCTTCAACCCAGAATTTCATATCCAGCCAAACTAAGCTTCATAAGTGAAGGAGAAATAAAATACTTTACAGACAAGCAAATGCTGGGAGACTTTGTCACCACCACGCCTGCCCTAAAAGAGCTCCTCAAGGAAGCGCTAAACATGGAAAGGAACAACCGGTACCAGCCGCTGCAAAATCATGCCAAAATGTAAAGACCATCGAGACTAGGAAGAAACTGCATCAACTAACGAGCAAAATAACCAGCTAACATCATAATGACAGGATCAAATTCACACAGAACAATATTAACTTTAAATGTAAATGGACTAAATGCTCCAATTAAAAGACACAGACTGGCAAATTGGATAAAGAGTCAAGACCCATCAGTGTGCTGTATTTAGGAAACCCATCTCACGTACAGAGACACACATAGACTCAAAATAAAAGGATGGAGGAAGATCTACCAAGCAAATGGAAAACAAAAAAAGGCAGGGGTTGCAATCCTAGTCTCTGATACAACAGACTTTAAACCAACTGAGATCAAAAGAGACAAAGAAGGCCATTACTTAATGGTAAAGGGATCAATTCAACAAGAAGAGCTAACTATCTTAAATATATATGCACCCAATACAGGAGCACCCAGATTCATAAAGCAAGTCCTGAGTGACCTACAAAGAGACTTAGATTCCCACACAATAATAATGTGAGACTTTAACACCCCACTGTCAACATTAGACAGATCAAAGAGACAGAAAGTTAACAAGGATACCCAGGAACTGAACTCTGCTCTGCATCAAGTGGACCTAATAGACATCTACAGAACTCTCCACCCCAAATCAACAGAATATACATTTTTTTCAGCACCACACCACACCTATTCCAAAATTGACCACATAGTTGGAAGTAAAGCTCTCCTCAGCAAATGTAAAAGATCAGAAATTATAACAAACTATCTCTCAGACCACAGTGCAATCAAACTAGAATTCAGGATTAAGAATCTCACTCAAAACCGCTCAGCTACATGGAAACTGAACAACCTGCTCCTGAATGACTACTGGGTACATAACGAAATGAAGGCAGAAATAAAGATGTTCTTTGAAACCAACAAGAACAAAGACACAACATACCAGAATCTCTGGGACGCATTCAAAGCAGTGTGTAGAGGGAAATTTATAGCACTAAATGCCCACAAGAGAAAGCAGGAAAGATCCAAAACTGACACCCTAACATCACAATTAAAAGAACTACAAAAGCAAGAGCAAACACATTCAAAAGCTAGCAGAAGGCAAGAAATAACTAAAATCAGAGCAGAACTGAAGGAAATAGAGACACAAAAAACCCTTCAAAAAATTAATGAATCCAGGAACTGGTTTTTTGAAAGGATCAACAAAATAGATAGACCGCTAGCAAGACTAATAAAGAAAAAAGAGAGAAGAATCAAATAGATGCAATAAAAAATGAGAAAAGGGATATCACCACCGATCCCACAGACATACAAACTACCATCAGAGAATACTACAAAAACCTCTACGGAAATAAACTAGAAAATCTAGAAGAAATGGATAAATTCCTGGACACATACACCCTCCCAAGACTAAACCAGGAAGAAGTTGAATCTCTGAATACACCAATAACAGGAGCTGAAATTGTGGCAATAATCAATAGCTTACCAACCAAAAAGAGTCCAGGACCAGATGGATTCACAGCCGAATTCTACCAGAGGTACAAGGAGGAACTGGTACCATTCCTTCTGAAACTATTCCAATCAATAGAAAAAGAGGGAATCCTCCCTAACTCATTTTATGAGGCCAGCATCATCCTGATACCAAAGCCAGGCAGAGACACAACTAAAAAAGAGAATTTTAGACCAATATCCTTGATGAACATTGATGCAAAAATCCTCAATAAAATACTGGCAAACCAAATCCAGCAGCACATCAAAAAGCTTATCCACCATGATCAAGTGGGCTTCATCCCTGGGATGCAAGGCTGGTTCAATATACGCAAATCAATAAATGTAATCCAGCATATAAACAGAACCAAAGACAAAAACCACATGATTATCTCAATAGATGCAGAAAAGGCCTTTGACAAAATTCAACAACCCTTCATGCTAAAAACTCTCAATAAATTAGGTATTGATGGGACATATCTAAAAATAATAAGAGCAATCTATGACAAACCCACAGCCAATATCATACTGAATGGGCAAAAACTGGAAGCATTCCCTTTGAAAAGTGGCACAAGACAGGGATGCCCTCTCTCACCACTCCTATTCAACATAGTGTTGGAAGTTCTGGCCAGGCCAATTAGGCAGTAGAAGGAAATAAAGGGTATTCAGTTAGGAAAAGAGGAAGTCAAATTGTCCCTCTTTGCAGACGACATGATTGTATATCTAGAAAACCCTACTGTCTCAGCCCGAAATCTCCTTAAGCTGATAAGCAACTTCAGCAAAGTCTCAGGATACAAAATCAATGTACAAAAATCACAAGCATTCTTATACACCAACAACAGACAAACAGAGAGCCGAATCATGAGTGAACTCCCATTCACAATTGCTTCAAAGAGAATAAAATACCTAGGAATCCAACTTAAAAGGGACGTGAAGGACCTCTTCAAGGAGAACTACAAACCACTGCTCAAGGAAATAAAAGAGGATACAAACAAATGGAAGAACATTCCATGCTCATGGGTAGGAAGAATCAATATCGTCAAAATGGCCATACTGCCCAAGGTAATTTACAGATTCAATGCCATCCCCATCAAGCTACCAATGCCTTTCTTCACAGAATTGGAAAAAACTACTTTAAAGTTCATATGGAACCAAAAAAGAGCCCTCATCACCAAGTCAATCCTAAGCCAAAAGAACAAAGCTGGAGGCATCACACTACCTGACTTCAAACTATACTACAAGGCTACAGTAACCAAAACAGCATGGTACTGGTACCAAAACAGAGATATAGATCAATGGAACAGAACAGAGCCCTCAGAAATAACGCTGCATATCTACAACTATGTGATCTTTGACAAACCTGAGAAAAACAAGCAATGGGGAAAGGATTCCCTGTTTAATAAATGGTGCTGGGAAAACTGGCTAGCCATATGTAGAAAGCTGAAACTGGATCCCTTCCTTACACCTTATACAAAAATCAATTCAGGATGGATTAAAGACTTAAACGTTAGACCTAAAACCATAAAAACCCTAGAAGAAAACCTAGGCATTACCATTCAGGACATAGGCATGGGCAAGGACTTCATGTCTAAAACACCAAAAGCAATGGCAACAAAAGACAAAATTGACAAATGGGATCTAATTAAACTAAAGAGCTTCTGCACAGCAAAAGAAACTACCATCAGAGTGAACAGGCAACCTACAAAATGGGAGAAAATTTTCGCAACCTACTCATCTGACAAAGGGCTAATATCCAGAATCTACAATGAACTCAAACAAATTTCCAAGAAAAAAACAAACAACCCCATCAAAAAGTGGGCAAAGGACATGAACAGACACTTCTCAAAAGAAGACATTTATGCAGCCAAAAAACACATGAAAAAATGCTCACCATCACTGGCCATCAGAGAAATGCAAATCAAAACCACAATGAGATACCATCTCACACCAGTTAGAATGGCAATCATTAAAAAGTCAGGAAACAACAGGTGCTGGAGAGGATGTGGAGAAATAGGAACACTTTTACACTGTTGGTGGGACTGTAAACTAGTTCAACCATTGTGGAAGTCAGTGTGGCGATTCCTCAGGGATCTAGAACTAGAAATACCATTTGACCCAGCCATCCCATTACTGGGTATATACCCAAAGGACTATAAATCATGCTGCTATAAAGACACATGCACACATATGTTTATTGCGGCACTATTCACAATAGCAAAGTCTTGGAACCAACCCAAATGTCCAACAATGATAGACTGGATTAAGAAAATGTGGCACATATACACCATGGAATACTATGCAGCCATAAAAAATGATGAGTTCGTGTCCTTTGTAGGGACATGGATGAAATTGGAAATCATCATTCTCAGTAAACTATCACAAGAACAGAAAACCAAACACCACATATTCTCACTCATAGGTGGGAATTGAACAATGAGAACACATGGACACAGGAAGGGGAACATCACACTCTGGGGACTGTTGTGGGGTGGGGGGAGCGGGGAGGGATAGCATTGGGAGATATACTTAATGCTAGATGATGAGTTAGTGGGTGCAGCGCACCAGCATGGCACATGTATACATATGTAACTAACCTGCACATTGTGCACATGTACCCTAAAACTTAAAGTATAATAATAAAAAATAAATAAATAAATAAATAAAATTGAAATTAATACAAAAAAATTAAAAAAAAAGAAAACGTGGTACATATGCACCATGGAATACTATGCAGCCATAAAAAGAAATGAGATCATGTCCTTTGCAGGGACATAGATGAAGCTGGAAGCCATCATTTTCAGCAAACTAACACAAGAATGGAAAACCAAACACTGCATGTTCTCACTCGTAAGTGGGAGTTCAACACTGAGAACACATGGACACAGAGAGGGAATAACACACACCAGGGCCTGTTAGGGGGTGGGGAGGTGAGGGGAGAGAACTTAGAGGATGGGTTAGTAGGTGCAGCCAATCACCAAGGCACATGTATACCTATGTAACAAACCTACATGTTCTGCACATGTACCCCGTTTTTTTTTAGAAGAAATAAAAAATCATGAGTTTTTTTGTGAAAATAAATAAATAAATAAAAATAAATGTAAATATCATTTATATATGTATAAACTCAATCAAAATTAAATATGTAAAATTAATACATGAATACACTATTTCTTATTTCTTAGTTTGGCACTGTTGGATAATACATTATGTCAGCCAGTATGTAGAGAAACAGACATTCCCATATATTAGTGTCAATGTGGAAACTGAAACAGTTTCTCTGGAGGACAAGTTGATGTCTATCAAAATTTTAAATGAACATCCACAGATTAATTCTAGCTCTAAGAATCTATCTGTTTGCAAAGATATGGTGAGTATTCACTGTAATGGTGATTATAACAAAAAAAAGAGCTTAAAATCAATCTAAATGTCTACCTATCCAGAAAGCATGAATATACAAGTTTCTATGCAAATGGTAGCATCTATAATACTGCTCTGCATATTGTTCTTTTCTTAAAAATGTGTCTTGGAGATTATTCCTTTTCAGTATGTACAGATATGCTTTATTCATTTTTGCAGTTACATAAACCATCCTTCACATTTCTGATACCTTTCTGTCTGTATTTCTTGACTCTGATACCTTTCTTTCTGTCTGCATTTCTTGAAGTTTTCCATACTGCTGTATCCAAACTCTCTCCTCCATCACAGAAAAAAGGAAACATCCTGTTCATCCTCACCCCTCTTCACCTGATGCCCTATCTCTCTCTTTCGGTAGGTGACTAAACTTCTCCAAAGTGTTCACACAGTTCCTCAACCACAACACATTCTTCAACTCTTTCATCTGTCCCTGCTCCCATTAGTCCAACAAAACAGCTGCAAATAAGGCCATCAGTATTCATATCACTGAATACAAGTTGTTTTCTCCAACATTTTGTTTTCTCCAACCAATAGTCTTACTTACCCTTGTCTACCACTCAGTGGGTTCTCCTTGGCTTCTTTGATGGAAGGTTTTTGTGTTTTGCATTCTACTTTTAATAGTCATTCATTTCCTACCTTCTTCTTGCCCATTAAATCTTAGAGTTCCTCAAGTCTTCGTCCTAGGCCCTCTCCTCTCCTCACTGTACTCTCTCCCTGGGCTAAAATACACCAACACGTTAGTTATCATTCCTAACCTAATGATCCCCTTGTATGTCCAGCCTAGACCTCTCCTCTGAGTTCCAGCCTCATATATCCAGCTGCCTATTTAACCAACATCTCTACTTGACCATCTTCTGTTGGAAGTCATGCAAGTATCTCAAACTCAGCAGGTCTAAAATTAGCTTATAAAGTTCCCCAAAAATCTAAGTTTAATTTCCAGTGTTTCCTATGCCACTGAATGTTATCATAACTCATCCAGTGGCAAAAGCCAGATGCCTCAGATTCATCTTTGATGCTTTCCTCTCTCCCTCAATCCATCATAAAATCATGCCTATTTGATCCCAAGTACCTTTCAAATATGCCCACTACTTTCTGTCTCCACCACAGCCATCAAATGAATGATACCTTCATTTCTCACAAGGCAACTCTTCAAAATGTTCTAGCCCATTCACTGTCACCACCCTCCCCAAACCAGTCTACACAGCAGCCAGTGATCTGTTAAATATGAACCCCAATCATGCCACATCCCTGCTTTGAACATTAGTGGTATTCTTGGAATAAAGACAAACTACCCTACTATGGCTTATGAGCCCCTGGCCCCTGGCTGTCTAGCAATAGCTCATACATTTCTTATGCCTTAGCCATGCTTCTTTGCTTTAATTCCCTCATTTTGCCATGTTCCCTCCCACCGAAGGTCTTTGCACAAACTGTCCCTCTGTTAAGAACACCCTTCCCTCCTTTTCTTGTCTAACAGTGCCTATTTATCATATATCGTATATATGCTTCTTTATATCTTTATGTGCTCAAGGGTCTCTTTCCTGCCATCTGACTATTTATCAAAATCTTCCTGTTAAAACACCTATAGCACCATTTATCTCTCCTACTTAGCTAGCAACTGTTATAGTTGTAGTTTTACATTGATTTTTGTAATTGTTTTATTAAAATCTATCTCCTCCTTTAGACCATAACCTGAGAACCATGTATAATGTTTCATTGTACAATATATTCGTTGTATAATGAAATACGTTGTACCTTTACAATGTATTCATTGTAGCCCCAGCACAATGGTAAATGATATATGGTAAATGCTTAATAAGTATTTGTTTAATGAATGCCAAAAATCAGTTCAGAATCAAGCAAGCATTCGCTGTAACTCCATTCTCCCTAATTGGAGAAAGAATGATATTACAAAAATATTAAAATGTAGTGGCTATGAGGGACAATGCCTATGGAAAGGTCAGAGATTTCTTGAATATTCTGAGAATGAGTGATCAGAACAAGAGTGGGGCCAGTAATTAACAAACAGATATTTAGGGATATCAAGTTAAAATAGGACACTGGGTTTTGTGTTAGTTTGTTGAGTTAGGGGTGTGGTGACATCCACCACAGTTGACATTTTTAGAAATAAACACACACCTGGCTGCATCATAAAAATGGCTCAAGACTCAAGCCATCATTTCTTTTTATATATCATAGTTTTACATATTTTGGGATATATATGATATTTTTAGAATGTATACAATGTGTAATGATCGAATCATAGTAAAGTCACAATTTCTAACTGCTCTAGTGTGCCTATCTCTCAGTCCTAAATTGCAAATCCCAGCTACCTCTCCTCTAACAAGTTCAGCACACCTTCATTTTCTCTCTCCCTCAGTCTCCTTCTCACAAGCTTCCAGGTGCTTCTTGTGTTTTCCTTCCATTCTTCTCTGCCCTTAGAATCTAAGAGGCCCCTTCAGCATGCTTCACTGCCACCCCTCACTATCACTCTTAATTCTGCCAACCTATAGGAACAGAACAGACTAGCATTCAATCTTAACTAGGAGTCTGCAGGACAAAGTGGAGTACTTAGCAGCCTGGTGAGGATTTGACATTTACCAGGAGAAAGATTTATTTGGTTAATTGAAATTGTGAAAAAAGTTGAGTTTGCCAAAATACAGAACAAAGAGAGAGGTCAGAGGATTGAACCTTGTGAAATAACTACCTTCAGAAATTAAGGAGAAGATAAGCAGCCATTGTCCGTAAAACCATTCTCCACAGAGATGGCAAACCACTCAGTCTCTAAAGAAGAATTCAGTTCACCGAGTATTTTGAGCGCCTGGTATGTGACTGATGGGGACTACTTGTATTAAAGACAGTGAAAATCAGGCACTGTTTGGATGTTCAGTTCCAAAATGGTGGTATAGAGGCAAGCTGGCTTTACTGCCCACCACCAACAGAAAATAAAAAACAAATTTGCAACAGTGAGATTATTGTCAAGAATATCCCACAACTCAAATATGAAGATGAGACAATTCCTAGAACCGCAGAGAAATGAAATAACTTATAGCAGATTGTAAGAGAATCAGATTTCCACATCTGCAACACGACTTATCCCATACTGCCTGGCACCAAGCATGTGGAAATTTTTCCTCAACTTATTGTTTCTACACTGAGCAAAGTGATACCAAGGTGGACAACCACTTCCCCACCATCTTGGGTTCTCTTGAAGGACACCTGTCCCTGCCTTAACCCACATGAAGCATTACAAGTGCCTGAAGGGAGAAATATCCATAAAGACAGGCAGAGACAAAAGGGGGAGGTGGGACTATCATCCCAGCCCTGGAAGCTCTGGACTGTAACTCAGCCAAAGGAAACACCAAATTAAAGTGGCTATTCAGCAGCACCATGCTGTAGGAGGTTTGTCCCACAAGTACCCTGAGCAGGAACCCATAGCTAGTCTTTCCACTTCCAGGACATCCCCTTTGGGACCTCCCGTATTTGACAAAGGCAGTGCTCTGAGTGTTTACTAGAGCCAAGGTGAACGTAGGCACAAGACATCACCTAGAGCCAAAAGGAGGCAGTAAACTAGTAGTAAAGAACCTCTAAGCAAATATATCCAACAAAAACCGAAACAACCAGACAGGGATACAGGAATAATTAACTAATCTTTCAATGCAAAGATATACACCCACAAGAAATAACAGCAAACAGAGAACTTCAATCTTCCCAAATGGGCAAAGCAAGGAACCAGTAACTGACCCTAATGATATGGCAATATATGAGCTCTTGTGACCAATAATTCAAAATAGTAGTGTTAAGAAAACTTACTAATTTCTAAGATAATACAAAAAAGCAATCCAGAAATTTATCAGAGAAAGTTAACAAAAAGATTGTAAGAATTTTTAAAAATCAAACAAATCTTGGAACTGTGAAATATATTTGCTGAACTGAAAAATTCATTCAAGGCTCTTAACAGCTGAATGGATCAAGCAGAGGAAAGCATCAGTGAACTTGAAAACAGGCTATTGGAAAATACACAGTCAGGGGAGACCAAAGAAAAAAAGAATGAAAGTGACAAAGATTGCCTACAAGATACAGAAAATTAACTAAAAAGACCAAATCAAAGAACTATTGATGTTCAAGGGGTAATTGAGCAAGAGCAAGAAGTAGAAAGCTTATTCAAATAATTAATAACAAAAAAACTTTTCAAAACTTAAGAGATAAATATCTAGGTACAGGACAGTCAGAGAACATCAAACATATTTGACCCATATAAGACTACCTCAAGGCACATATTAACAAAACCTTCAAAAGTCCTCAAAGGTCAAGGGAACCGGGACACAGAGGTTGCAGTGAGCCGAGATTGCTCCACTGCATTCCAGCCTGGGCGACACAGCAAGACTGAAAAAAACAAAAAAGGTCAAGAATAAACAGAAAATCCTAAAAGGAGCCAGAGAAAAGAATCAAGTAACATATAAAAGAGCTTCCATTTGTCTGGCAACTGACTTCTCAGTGAAAACCATACAGGCCAGGAAACGGGAACAACATTTTCAAAGCACTGAAAGAAATAATTGCCATCCAAGAATATTGTATCTAGCAAAGCTATCCTTCAAATGTGAAGGAAAGATAGTCTTTCCCACACCCAGAAGAACAAAAGCTGAGTGAATTTACCACCACCAGATTCACCTTATAAGAAATGCTAAAGGGAATTCTTCAATCTTAAAACAAAACAAAACAAAACAATAACATGTGAAAAAATACTGAAGGTATAAAACCTCCCAATAAAATGAAGTATGCAAATGGACCCAGAATACTACAACTATGATTGTACAATCCACTCATAACTCTAGTATGAAGCTCCCAAAGACAAATAAATCACAAACAATAATAGCTATTACAACCTCTTAAGAAACAGGTAAAATGAAAATATATAAATTGAGACAACTACAAGTCAAAATGTGTGGGGATGAAGTTAAAGTGTAGGATTCCTTTTTATTTTTTCTGTTTCTATTTTCTTTGTGATCTAAGATAATTTGTCAACTCTTTTAAAATAACTATATAATTTATATAACTTATTGATATAACTATATAGCTATATATAGGATTTTTTGAGAAACCTCATTGTAACCACAACACAAAAACCTATATATAGATTAAAATAAAACAGCAATGAATTAAAACATACTACCAGAAAAAAAAATAACTTAATCACAAAGGAAGACAATAAGAAAGGAAGAGAGGAATCGCAAAACAACCAGAAAATAAGCAACAAAATGAAAACAACAGCAGTAAGTCCTTACTTACTAGTAACAACACAGGATATATATTAGTCAGGGTTCTCTTAGAGGGACAGAACTATATATAAAGAACCTATTAGTTCCCTCATTTTCTCTCTCTCTCTATATATATATGTGTGTGTGTGTATATATATATGTATGTATATATATGTGTATGTGTATATATATATGTATGTGTATATATGTATGTTTATATATGTATGTGTATATATGTAAGTATACATATATGTATACTTTATATATGTATATATGTAAGTATACATATAGGTATACTTTATATATGTATATATGTATACTATATATACACATATGTATACTATATATACACATATGTATACTATATATACATATATATGTATACTATATATATATGTATACTATATATATGTAAGTATACCTATGTGTATGTATATATATGTATGTGTGTATACATATATGTATGTGTGTGTATATATATATGTATGTGTATATATATAAAGAGGAGTTTATTAAGTATTAACTTACATGATCACAAGGTCCCACAATAGGCCGTCTGCAGGCTGAGGAGAAATGAGAGCCAGTCTGAGTCCCAGGACCGAAGAACTTGGAGTCCGATGTTCGAAGGAAGGAAGCATCCAGCATGGGAGAAAGATGTAGGCTGGGAGGCTAGGCCTGTCTTGTTCATTCATGTTTTTTCTGCCTGCTTCATATTTACTGGCAGCTGATTAGGTTGTGCCCACCAGATTAAGGGTGGGTCTGCCTTCCCCAGCCCACTGACTCAAATGTTAATCTCCTTTGTCTACACCCTCACAGACACACCCAGGGGATCGATACTTTGTATCCTTCAATCCAATCAAGTTGACACTCAATATTAATCATCACAGGATGTAAATAGACTCAATTCTTCAATTAAAAGGCATAGAGTGGCTGAATAGATAAAAAAAGTAAGACCCAACTACATACTACTTTCAAGAATTCCACTTCACCTATATAGACACACACAGACTAAAAGTGAAAAGGTGAAAAAAGATATTTCATGCAACTGAAAATCAAAAAAGAGCAGGAGTAGCTATACTTAGATAAGAGAATACAAATCAAAGACTGTAAAAAGAGAAAAGACAGTGACTGTAAAATGATAAAGGCGTCAACTTAGCAAGAGAGTATATAATAATTACAAATCTCTATGCACACAACACCAGGGCTCCCAAGTATATAAAACAAACATTAAAAATTTGAAGGTAGAGATAGACTACAAAACAATAATAGTAGGGGACTTTAACACCCTACTCTCGGTAATGAACAGTTCATTCAAGCAAAAATAATCAACAAAGAAACATCAGAGTTAAAACTACACACTAGATCTAATATGCCTAACTGAAATTGATAGAACATTGCACCCAATTGCTGCAGAATACACATTCTTTACATCAGCACATAGTATATTCTCCAGAATAGACCATATGCTAGGCAACAAAACAAGTCTGAACAAAATAAAAAAAAACAGAAATTATACCCAGTATTTTTTTCTTACGACAATGGAATAAAACTAGAAATCAATAACAAGAAAAACTTTGGAAACTTCATGAATACATATTAAATAATATGCTTTTGAATGACCATTGAGTTAAATAAATTAAGAAGGAAATTAACAATTTTCTTGAAGCATATAAAAATGGAAATAAAACATACCAAAATCTATGTGATACAGCAAAAGCAGTACTAAGAGAAAAATTTACAGCAATAAACACCTACATCTAAAAAGTAGAAAGACTTCAAATAAACATTCTAACAGTGCACCTCCAGGAACTAGAAAAGCAAAAACAAATCAAGCCCAAAATTAGTAGAAGGAAAGAAATGATAAAGATTAGAGCAGAAATAAAAGACAGAAAGACCAAAATAACAATACAAAAGATCAACAAAATGAAAATTTGGGTTTTTGAAAAGACAAATAGCATTGATAAACCTTTGGTTAGACTAACAAGAGAAGACAAAACTACATAAACATCAGAAACAAAATATGAGACATAACAACTGAAACAATAGAAATATAACAAATCATTATGATCAATTCCATTTTAATCATAATATAGATTATGAACACTTATATGCCAATGAATTGGAAAACCTAGAAGGAATGGATAAATTCCTGGACACATGCAACCTACCAAGAATGAACCATGAAGAAATAGAAAACCTCAATAAACCAAAAATGAATAACAAGATTAATAGCTATAATAAAAAGTCTGCCTTCAAAGAAAAGCCCAGAATCAGATGGCTTTGCTGAATTTTACCAAACATTTAAAGAACTAATACCAATTCTACTCAAAGTCTTCAAAAAAATTTAAGAGAAGAGAATTCTCCCTCACCTGTTCTACAAGGCCAGCATTACCCTTCTACCAAAACCAGACAAAGATACAACAACAAGAAAAAAGGAAAACTACAGGCCAGTATAACTGATAAAGATGCAAAAATCCGCAACAAAGAAACCAGCAAACTGAATTCAACAACACATTAAAAAGAGCACACAATATGATCAAATGGGATTAATCCCAGAAATGCAAAATGTTTCAACATATGCAAATCAATCAATTTGATACATCATATAAACAGAATGAAGGAAAAACAACATACGATTATTTCGATAGATGCCAAAAACCTTCAATAAAATTTAACATCCCTTAACAATAAAACCTTCCTCAAACTGGGTACAGAAGAAACATACTTCAACATAATGAAGGCCATATATGACAAAACCACAACTAGCATTGTACTGGATGAGGAGAATTGAAGGCCTTTCTTCTAAGATCTGGAAAAAGGCAAGCATGCTCAGTTTCACCACTTTTATTTAATATAGTACTGGAAGTACTGGCCAGAGCATTTAGTCAAGAGAAAGAAATAAGAACCATCCAAATTGGAAAGAGAAAATCAAATTAACGTTGTTCACAGATGATATAGTCTTATACTTAGAAAAACCTAAAGAACCCACACAAAAAATCTCTTAGATCTTCATAATGAATTCAGTGAAGTTGCATGATCCAAAATCAATGTACATAAATCAGTATAATGTATATAAGCCAACAGTGAACAACCTAAAAAAAATCAAGAAAGCAATCCCATTTATAATATCTACAAAGAACAAAAAATACCTAGGAATCCATTTAACCAAAGAAATGAAAGATCTATATAAGGAAAACTATAGAAACACTGATGAAAGAAATTGAAAAAGACACCAAAAATGAAAAGATATTCCACGTTCATTGATTAGAAGAATATTGTTAAAATGACAACACTATCCAAAACAATTTACAGATTCAATGTGATACCTATCAATATTCCAATGACATTCTTCACAGAAATATAAAATGCATGGAATAACAAAAGACACCAAATAGTCAAAGCAATCCTGAGCAAAAAGAACAAAGGAAAGGCATCACACTACCTGACTTCAAATTTTACTACAAAGCCAGAGTAACCAGATCGTCATGGTACTGGCATAAAAACAGACATATAGACCAATGGAACAGAATAGAGAACCCAGATATATATTCACAAATTTACAGCCAACTTATCTTCAACAAAAGTACCAAGAACCTACAGTGGGGAAAGGACAATCTTTTTAATCAGTGATGTGGCAAAAAATGGATAGCTATATTATATGCAGAAGAATGAAACTAGAACCCCTCACCTTACCAAAAATTTAAATCACAATGGATTAACAACTTAAATGTAAGACCTGAAGCTATGAAACTATTAGAAGAAAACATTGGAGAAACAATTCAGGGTATTGGTCTGGGTATTTTTTTTGTGTGTAAGACCTCAAAAGCACAGCAACCACAGCAAAAATAGATAAATGAGATTATGTCAAGCTAAAAACCTTCTGCACAGTAAAGGAAACAATCATCAAAGTAAAAACCCACAGAATGGGAGAAAATATTTGGAAACTAACCATCTGACAAGGGAATAGTAGCGAGAATATATACATATACATGTACATATATATATATCTCTCTCAAAACAACTCAATAGCAAAAAAAAATTTAATCTGATTTTTTAAATGGGCAAAAGATCTGAATAGACATTTCTCAAAAGAAGACATACAACTTGCCTAAAATGTGTACGTACAAATGCTCAATATCACTAATCATTAGAAAAATGCAAATAAAACCCACAATAAGATGTCATCTAACTCTAATTAAAGTGGTTTTATCAAAAAGGCAATAATGAACGCTGGCAAGGGTGGAGAGAAAGGGGAACCCTTGTACACTGTTGGAGTGTAATGTCGTGGTAGTCACTGTGAAGCACAATTTGGAGGTTCTTCAAAAAACTAAAAATGAAACTACCATATGATCCAGCAATTCCACTACTGGGTATATATACCCAAAAGAAAGGAAATCCATATATCAAAAAGACATCTGCACTCCCATGTTTCTTGCAGCACTATTCACAATAGCCAAAATATGGAATTAACCCAAGTGCTTATCAGTCAATGAAAGGATAAAGAAAATGGAATATATATATATAAAATAAAATATTATTCAGCCATAAAAAAATGAAATCCTCTCATTTGCAGCAACATGGATAGAACTGGAAGTCATTACCTTAAGTGAAATAAGCCAGGCACGGAAAGACAAATATCACTTGTTCTCATTCATATGTGAGAGCTGAAAGGTGTATCTCATGGAAGTAGGGAGTATTTTGGTGGTTACCAGAGGCCAGGAAGGGTAGCAGGGAAGAGGGGATGAAGAGAAGTTGATTAATGGGTACAAATATACACTTTGATAGAAGAAATAAGACCTAGTGTTAGATAGATCAGCAGGGAGACTATCATTTACAACAATCTATTGTACATTTCAAAGTAGCTAGAATTCAAATGTTTCTAGCATAAAGAAAAGACATATTTAAGGTGATTGATATTCCAAGTACACTGATTTGATCTTTGCCAATTATATGGGCATATTAACTTATCACACATATCTCAGAACTACATACATTTGTTATGCATCAGTGAAAAAAAGAATCAGTCAGTCATTCAGTGTCAGGTGTTTTAAGTTGAGCTCCTTGGGAAGGAGACTCTCAGAAGGAGATTTGTATGGGGAAGGTTTACTGAGCAGTGCTAGTAAGAACATCTATAAAAGAGTAAGGGAAACATTAAACTGAGATACAGTTGCAAATGATCCCATGGGAAGCTCTGGGGCTGAGATTACTCTTCAGAAATGTCCTGAATTGAGGCAAGGGGATCAGGCCTTTACACTCCCACAATGAGCAGTTATTTGGTGTGAGCCATGGTTGGGATAAGGTATCATCTTTGAGGAGCAGTTTCATCAACTGAAGACTCCAGGAAAAACTCAGCTGTGAGCCACAGTAGTCAATACTTTCAGCAGCTGTGAGACTAAGTCCTTTAGTCCTTAAGGGGTAGGTCTGTGTAATGCATCACAACACTCACTACAAAGAAATAGTCAGTGGCACCTTTTGGGAGCAGGGAGGAAGAATAGGTGAATAGAGTGAAGTCTGGGGTTTTCTTAAACAGCTTTATTGAGATTCACATACCACACAATTCACCATTTTAAAGTGTACAATTCAATGGTTTTTAATATATTAACAGAGTTGTGTATCTATCACCACAATCTATTTTAAAACATTTTATTATCCCCTCCCTGCCAAAAAAAAAAAAAACCCATACTCCTTAGCTATCACTCTCCCAATCCCTTCATCTCCCCTAGCTCTAGGCAAACACTACTTTCTGTCTTTGTAGACCTGCCTGTTGTAGACATTTCATATAAATGGAATCATAAAATAGGTGGTTCTTTGTGACTGGCTTCTTTCACTTAGCATAATATTTTCAAAGCTATGTTGTAGCATGAATCAGTACTTCAATTCTTTTCATTGCCAAATAATATTCCATTATATAGATATACCAGATTTTATTTATCTATTGATCAGTTGGTGTACAAATGTGTTATTTCTACTTTTTGGCTATGATGAATAATGCTGCTATGAACATTCACGTACAAGTGCTTGGACGGACATATTCTCATGGGTGTATTGCTAGGATTAGAATTGCTGGATCATAACTGTTAGAAATTGTCAAATTGTTTTTCAAAGCAGTCATACATTTTACATTCCCACTAGCAGTATATCAGGGTTCCTGTTTCTCCACATTTTTGTGAACACTTGTTATTGTCTCTTTATTAAAACCATTTGAGTGAGTGAGTGAGTGAGTGAATAGATATGGCGTGGTATTTAATTATGGTTTTCATTTGCATTTCCCTGGTGGCTAATAATATTGGGCATCTTTTCATGTACTTATTGGCTATTTATATATCTTCTTTGGAAAAAATGTTCAGTCAGATCCTTTGCCCATTTAAAAAACTGTGTTATTTGTCTTTTTCTTTTTGAGATCTAAGAGTTTTTTATACGTTCTAAATCCAAGTCCTTTATCAGATATGTGATTTGCAAAAATTTTCTCATTTTATGGGCTTTCTTTTCACCTTATGATGTCCTCTGAAGCATAAAAGTTTTTATTTTTATTTTTTTATTTCACTATTGTTTATTTTCTTTTTTTTCTTCTTCTTTTTTCTTTTTTTGATTATTATTATACTTTAAGTTTTAGGGTACATGTGCACAATGTGCAGGTTAAGTACATATGTATACATGTGCCATGCTGGTGTGCTGCACCCATTAACTCATCATTTAGCATTAGGTATATCTCCTAGTGCTATCCCTACCCCCTCCCCCCACCCCACAACAGTCCCCAGAATGTGATGTTCCCCTTTCTGTGTCCATGTGTTCTCATTGTTCAATTCCCATCTATGAGTGAGAACATGCGGTGTTTGGTTTTTCATCCTTGCGATAGTTTACTGAGAATGATGATTTCCAATTTCATCCATGTCCCTACAAAGGACATGAACTCATCATTTTTTATGGCTGCATAGTATTCCATGGTGTATATGTGCCACATTTTCTTAATCCAGTCTATCATTGTTGGACATTTGGGTTGGTTCCAAGTCTTTGCTGTTGTGAATAGTGCCGCAATAAACATACGTGTGCATGTGTCTTTATAGCAGTGTGATTTATAGTCCTCTGGGTATATACCCAGTAATGGGATGGCTGGGTCAAATGGTATTTCTAGTTCTAAATCCCTGAGGAATCGCCACACTGACTAAATATTGTTAATGTGCAAGTGATCTATTTTATTTATTTTTCTTGCTTGTGTAATAAACCATTGTCTAAGCCAAGGTCACAGTTATTTCAACAGTAAACAGAAAAAAAAAAGCTAGTAGAGAGAAAGTATAGGTAGTGGGTGAGATGCAGTTTTGGATAGCGAAAATCCCAAATTCCACTAGGGAAGGTTTACCTTAACTCAGATTAATTTAAACACACATTTTATTTTATGCCTACAAGGCATTATTGAGTAGCACAGATATATGTTATATATATATATGTTATGTTATATATATATATGTTATGTTATATATATTTATATATATGTTATGTTATATATACTTATATATATGTTATGTTATATATATATTTATATATATGTTATATATATATTTTTATATATGTTATGTTATATATATTTTTATATATGTTATATATGTGTTATATATGTGTTATATATGTGATATATATGTGTTATATATGTGTTATATATGTGATATATATGTGATATATATATATATATGTCTGCAATACAGAGCCAAAGAGCAAAACAAACAAGTATGGTTCTATCCTCCTAATCCATAGGACAAACATATATATATACATATATGTTAATATATGTATATATAAACATATATAACATATATGTTATATATGTCGTATGTGTCATATACAACATATATGTGTCGTATGTGTCATATACAACATATATGTGTCGTATGTGTCATATACAACATATATGTGTCGTATGTGTCATATACAACATATATGTGTCGTATGTGTCATATACAACATATGTGTCGTGTGTGTTATATATAACATATATGTGTCGTGTGTGTTATATATAACATATATGTGTCGTGTGTGTTGTATATAACATATATGTGTCGTGTGTGTTATATATAACACATATGTTTATATACGTTTATGTTTATATATGTATATATACATATATGTTTATATTATATGTTTATATATGATAATATATAAATATATATAATATATGTTTATATATTATAATATAATATATGTTTATATATTATATGTTATATATAACATAGTTATATGAGAAAATATTAAAAACTTTTATATAAAACATGTATTGTTATATATGTTATATATAACATGTATTGTTATATGTTACATTTATGTTATATATAACATTTATATGTTACATTTATATGTTATATATAACATATATATAACATGTTATATAGCATATATATATGCTATATATATAACATATATAACATATGTTATATGACATATATAACATGTTATATATGACATATATAACATATAAACTATATATAGTTATGTTACATATAAACTATATATAGTTATATGTTACATATAAACTAATATATGTTATATATATAAACTATATATAACTGTATATGTTATATATAGTTATATATGTTATATATATAACATATATAGTTATATATAATAACATATATATATGTTAGGTTTTGTAAAACTGGGATTTGTGCTGGACTCTTTCAGGTATGTAGGATCTAGAGTGTAAGGGGAAAAAAAGCCCTTTCCAGATTAGTAAATAGCAGGAAAAAAAATCACACAGGAGAGAATGGGCATATTAAGGAACAGTGAGCTCAGGCAGGTTGGAACAGCAACAATAAACCAGGATGTGGGAGAAGAAAGATGTTACAAAGCCTGAAAAAGGGTCTGCAATGCAGAGCCACAGAGCAAAACAAACTTAAGTATGGCTCTGTCCTCCTAATCCATAGGAAAAAACATAGTAACAGTAGTCTCTGCATAGTTATATAGGAGTCAGTGGGCATTTGCATATGGTTCTAGGAGACCTGTTCATTTACAACAGAGAAAAAGAAAACCTGTAGCTAAGACTGAAGCAATCACAATACACCTCTCCAAGGTAACAAGAGTAGAGAGATATATGCAGATTGGAAATTAGAGCGTCATCCCCAATCCTCACAGAAAACAACAGTATTGTGCAAAATAGCTGGTAGTGTATGAAGTGTGGTTGAGGTAGAAGCCCAGACCAAGGTGTAGTGCTGTGACTGAGGAGTTCTCAAGGTGGTCCAGATGGCATCTCAGGGTGCTCCAGACCATGGAGTCTAGTGGACAATGTACTGAATTCTGATCCCCATGTGATCATGGTGCTGAAGCTCGTGATGAGTCGCCTCCTGGCCACATCATATCTGTACAACATCTAGGGACCACTGATACCAACATGTACATGGACCGGGGAACAGAGAGGCAGAAGAAACAACCCACAGAAACTAATTGCGCTGACATAATATGGTTGGATGGAGCCATATCCTGAAGAATTTTGAAAAGCAGGCCAAGAAGGTGGAACTTAACTCAGGATTAAGAGGCCATTGTATCTTAACAATCCTAAAGGCACCATGCTAGGTTAGTAACATTATGGAAGCAGTGTCCAACAGTATTAACTCGAAGTTTCATTCTGCTATTTCAAATTTTAATTATTCACTCTTAAATCCTCTTTAAAGTGACAATACCCTTTCCTGTAGCTCATGCATATTCCCCACCCTATTCATATTGGTTCTATTTCTTCAGTGGCCTATCTATTTCAGAGAAAATCACTCTACTCGCAAGCCCAAGAGCATATTTCTTACTTAAAAAGCCTGGTTACACCAAAACTATAATGATATGAGAGAATTCCATTGATTCAAGGTCTCCAGAGTGTAAAAGACAGACTCTTTTGCTACAGCTGGCTGCTGCTTTTTATGGGATAACATACTTGGAAGCTTGAAAATTTCAACCATTATGTCCATCAACCCGTCTTCCCTCTGTACATCTGCCACAACATATCTGATAGTCAGCCAAAAGCACTTCTACCTCTGACATTAGCAATGTTGACATCTCTGCCTATAAGAGAGAATTCCAGATTTTTTTCTCCCAAGTCAACTCCTCCCAAGTTTCATGATCTTAGGAAATGATATCATTTTCACCCATAGAGCAAGAAAAATACTTGGAAATTATCCTTGGCTACTCACTACCTTGTCATCTCACATTAAACCCATTACCAAGCGCATGTTGATCCTTTTTAAAAAAAAAAAAATCATAAGTCTGACCACCGTTTACTACAACTACCTCTATCTTCCTAGTCCACGCACCATCATCTCTCACCATAGTTCCTGAAGTAGCCTTCAAACATGACCCGTTTCCATTCTCGCCCCGAGTGGAGAACACCGCTAGCTGTCTATCCAATACCCATGCTGCTCTTCTTTCTTACTAAAGTGGAACCCTTATTTTGCTCAAGAATACAAGGTGAACAGCTCAATACTTACCTTCTGAGCTGTGCTTGTAACTAAGGGTAGCCATTCCCAGTTCTGACCAAACAGAAATGATCAAAGTAATCCTGAATAGGACTTCCAAAGGAGCTTTTCAAAGGAACAGATTTAATCACCATACACTTTCAGTCCTTTTCTCTCCTTCTTTTGTCTGCCTGTAACATGGTCATGATATCCAAAAGTGAAACAGCCACATGGCAACCAAGAGATAAGACAACATACTCGACATAGTGCATAGGAAAATGGGAAAAGACTGGATCCTTAACATCACTGAGCCATTGCATCAGGCTTGGACTGGCAGCCTGCTCTCAGTTTTCTTATTGTGTGAGACAAATAAAGCCCTGGTTGTTTTAGGCAATGCTTGTATGGTTTTGTTTGGGGTTTTTTCACTCAAATGCATTCTTACTAAAGCCCTTTGCTCAAGTTTCCAGCAAACAACCAATGTAAGCTTGGCAAAGAGCGTCTTACCATCAAATTTAGAAAAAATCCAAACTCTTTATGTGGCCCTGTATGGTCTGGTCCCTGCCTATCTTTCTGAACTCATCTTCTATCACTTTCCACTTTGATACACTAGCATTAGTGACAATAAAACAATGTATGTGATTATGAAGTAAAAGAGACTATCATAAGAACAGAATCTATACTTTTCTTCTTTATCCCTCCTCCACTCATCTCCTAAAGGACCAACCTATTCCTGGATCCCCTATTCACATTCCAACAGTCTTAGTACCAATCTTTGCTCTCATTACTCATGTTGAATGAGATACAGGCATGACACAGGAGGAGTTCAACAGGACCTTTATGTCAATACCTAACCTTCTTTCCCTTGGCTCCCTCCACTTCCATAACTTCCCACTCCCCCAAGAACCTATCCACCTTGAGTGCGAAGTGCCTATAACTTGTCTTTTAGTTTCACTAATAGATCAGTTGCTTATTCAGTTTTTCAGCTTCCTATCTTTGGATTCATCCAAAAAATTCCTAAAATGACAGTCAGATGATACAACTCCTTATAAGTAGTTGAAGAATTGTCCTCACCAGGCTGCTAAGGCTACTTGTGAAACATATTTCTGCATTAGGATGAGTGCTCTGATGAGACTGAAACTTCAATCATCATATTAGTTTATCAAATATTGTAGGGAATGTTTAAATAAAATTGAGAGATTATTATATAATATGGTGAGCCTCGGCTAGATGTGATTTTGGGAGGCCGAGGCGGGAGGATCACTTGAAGCCAGGAGATCAACACCAGCCTGGGTGACAAAGCAAAACCCTGTCTCTGTCTCTCTCTCTCTCTCTCTCTCTCTCTCTCTCTCTCTCTTTCTCTCTCTCATATATATATGTGTGTGTGTGTACCTGTGTGTATATATGTATATACATGTATGTGTATATGTGTATCTATGTACATGTGTGTATATATGTGTGTGTGTGTGTGTGTATATATATATATATACCACCACCTTCCGAGTTTGCATGTGCCCCTCTGTAGTCAATTCCCTACTCTTGCCCTCTGGGCCTTACTAACCACTAATTTGCTTTTCATCACTATTGGTTTGCCTTTTCTGGAATTTTATATACACGGGATTATACAGTATGTAGTATTCTGTATCTTACTTCTTTCACTTAGCAAAATGTTGTTGATCACACATATTGTTGCATATGTCAGTAGTTCATTCATTTTAAAGCTGAGTAATATTTCATTGTCTGGCTATATCACTGTTGGTTTATCCATTTTCAGCTATTGTGAATAGAACATCTTCAAGTATTTGACCTAATGGACATGTTTTCATTTTCCTTGGGCAATAAAGTGCTTTTTCTAAATATACAGTCCTATGCACGCCTATACTTGTAAAAAATTTTGTGCAAGTGCCCTGCAATAATATGGGTGCATCTACTCTCATAAATGTATGATATACAATTTTACAATAACAAGTGAATGGGTTAAGATGAAGCACAGTATTAGGATTGCATTAAAAATCATTTTAGAACTAATGCATTTTGACTGTTTCTTATCTGATGCTTATGCTTATATTACAGAATGTGAATATTTGTTAGATTTAGCCTCAAAATATTCACAAGTATTCCTTTTTAAAAACATCTTATTTAGCTTAATTGCCTTACAATAAACTTCACATATTTAAAGTATAAAATTTGATAAATTTTGACATATGCATACACTCATAAAACCAGCACCACAAGCAGGATAACGAACATACCCATCACTCCCAAAATTGTGTTTGTGTCCCTGTATAATCTTCCTGCTTTTCCTCCCCACAGTGCCCAGGTAACCACTGGTTTGCTTTTGGTCAGTAGAGATTAATTTGCATTTCCTAGAGTTTTATGTAAATTGAATCATACATATGTGTTTTTTTCTTGCAATTCTCTCACACTGTATAATTATTTTGAAATTCATTCATGTGGTTGCACATATCAATATTTCATTCCTTTTAATTGCTGAAATATATTCCATTGTATGCATTTACCACACCATTAATTTGCTAATAAAGTTTTGGTCATTTCCAGTTTGGGGCTATCATAACTAAAGCAGTTATGAACACTTATGTGCAAATCTTTGAGTGGACATATGCTTTCATTTAATAAATACCTATGGGTGGAATGACTGGGTCACATAGTACTTTTACACTTAACCTTTTATGAAAGTGCCAAAATTTCCAAAATCGTTTTAACCATTTTCCGTTTCTACCAGCAGTGAATAAGAGTTCTAATTGTTTCATATCCCCACCAACATTTAAAGTGGTAAGGTTTTTATAAATTATAGCCATTCTAGTGGGTATGTAGTATGGGCTTAATTTGCATTTCCCTAACAACAAATTATGTTAATCATCTCTTCCTGTGTTTGTATGACACCCATGTGTCTAAATACTTTCCTATTTTTCCTATTTTTCCTATTAGTATTGCACTGATGCCTTACTAATGAGTTATAAGAATTCTTTATATAGTCTAGAAATGAGGAAGTATTAATTCACTTTGTATTTCTATAAAGGAATTCCTGAGGCTGGATAACTTATAAAGGAAAGAGATTTATTCTGGCCCATGGTTCTACAGACTGTACAAGAAGCAAGAAGCAGAGTGTCAACACCTGCTTTTGGTGTCGCCTCAGGAAGCTTACAATTAGGTTGAATGAAAAAGTGGGAGTAGGCATGTCACATAGAGAAAGAGAGAGAGAGAGAGGAAGAGAGAGAGGGGAGGATGTACCAGGCTCTTTCAACAACCACCTCTCCTGTTAACTCATTACTGTGAGGAGAGCACCAAACCATTCATGAGGGATCCACCCCCATGATCCAAACATTTCCCACTCTGCCCCATCTAAAACCATTAGGGATCACATTTCATCATGAGATGTGGAGGGGACAAATACTCAAGCTTTAGCAAGAGGCTTTGTCAGGTATATTGTTTACAAATACTTTATCCTTATTGCTGGCTTTTATTTCCATTTTTATCAATGTTTTCTGAGGAGTAAGGTTTTTACTTTTATTGAAGTCTAATTTATTGATTTGGTTCCTTTAAAAAATTTTTACCAAACTCAAAGCCACTGTGATTTTTCTCAACATTTTTTTTAGAGGTTTTAGAGTTTACCACTTACATTTAGATCTGTGATCCATCTGGAGTTAACTTTTTAATACGGCAAGCTAAAGCTAATTTTTAAATTGTATTTATTATTTTGCGTATAGCTATCCATTGTTCCAGAACCACTTATTGAAAGGATTGCAATTTTCCCCCCCTTAAATTGCCTTGAAAACTTTGTGGAAATCAATTGACCATGAGTGGGGGAGTCTGGATGCTCCATTCTATTCCAAAGCTCTATGCCTATCTCTCTGCCATTAATTATCACACAGTTTTGATTACTATAGATTTATTATAAGTCTGTCCTGCAACCTTGAACTTTTTCAAAATTGTTTTGGCTTTTTCACGTAAAATTTTCATGTATATTTTAGGGTTTTTTAAAATCAATTTATACAAAAAAAAGACTTGAGATTTTGAGTGAAATTGCATTGCATATGTAAATTTGGGGAGAATTGGTATCTTAATAATTTTGAGTCTTTCAATGCATAAATACAGAATATTTCTTCATTTATTTAATTTTTCCTTAATTTCCCTCAGGAATATCTTACAGATTTCTGTGTGCATGTCTTACACATTTTTGTCAGATTTTTCACATTTTTGTGATATTAATTTAAAAATGATATTTTTTTCTTTTCAATTTCCATTTGTTCTTTGTCAGTACAGAGAAATACAACTGATTTTTATTTATTGCTCCTGAGACCTGCATCTTTGCTAAACTGACTTATTAGTTCTAATAGTTCAATAGCACTGGCCAGAAAATATTGAATGCAAGCGATGAGAGTGGGTATTCTTTTGGATCCCTGAGAAGACAGAAAGCATTCAATTTTTTTCAATAACTATAATATTAGCTGTGGTTTTTCATAAATGCCATTTATCAAGTTGAAGACATTCCATTATATTCCTAGTTTTCTAAAAGTTGTCATTACAAATGAATGTTGGATTTTATAAAATGTTTTCTTCTTCATCTATTGAAATTATCATTTTTTTTCTTTTTGGTTCTGTTAATATGGTCAATTTATATTGATCAGTTTTTTTAATGTTAAACAGAAGTCGCTGTCCTGCACTGCTTGATGTCCAATATTTGAAAACCATTGTTTCATATGTTTTGTCTGGTTACTCTATCTTGGCTACAAGTTAAAGTCTCTGGTATTTCTCTTTCAAGTCTCTGGTTCTTAGTTGCATTCCTCAGTCCCACACCCCAGTTGGTCACAAAATATAATCCTTTTTATTGCATTATAATTTTATATTATTAGATTTCAATTAATCTGTTTTTTATCTTTGTTGAGGGTGGGCTCTTTGGGGGGAGGACTTAGACTTTTTTCTCTGTCATTTTGGGTAGATTCAATTGCTGTGTCTTCAAGATCACTAATCTTTTCTTCTACAGATTCTAATCTGTTGTTGTTCCTGTACAATGTATTTTTTAATCACCGATATTTTATATTTCATGTCTAAAAATTTAATGAGCCTTTTTTATATCTTTCATATCTCTACCTTATAAGCTCAATCTTTATGTAACTTTTAAAATATGTGCAATATAGTTATATAACTATTTTAATGTCTTTGTCTGCTAATTCTGTAATCTAGGTCATTTCTGAGTCAGTTTTGATTAATTGATTTTTCTCCTCATTAAGATTGTATTTCTTGCCAGGAAACTGTTTGATCCTTTGAGGCTTGCTTTTAAGTTCTATTAGACAGGACCAGTATGGTTGTTTCTTTCCCTGGCCTTGACTAGTTTTCTCACACACATGTGTTTCTCAATGTTGTTTCAGGGATAATACTCAGCTGAAGACTCAAGGAGAACCCACTGTCTGTTTCTGAAGCCATCTCCCTGTATTGCTGTGTTCAGATACCCTGTTTTATGAAGTCTAGCCTCATTGGCCCTACCTAATTCCCAGTGACACCTTTTCAATTCAGAGAGACTACTGGACTCCTTTTGTATTCCTCCTTGCAGTATTGCTGCCTGGAAATTTTTTCTAGACAGTAAGATGGGTTAACTGTGGGCTCCCCATGCACATTTCCTGTCTCTCAGGGATCACTGTCCTGCACTGCTTGATGTCCAATATTTGAAAACCGTTACTGTATATGTTTTGTCTGATTATTCCATCTTGGCTACAAGTTAAAGTCTCTTGTTATTTCTCTTTCAAATCTCTGGTTTTCCTTAGTTGAAAGTTATTTAGAAATTGAAAGGCAAGTGCTTAAGGGGGATAAAATAGTTACTATTTTATTATTTGTAGCTACCTATCTGTATACCATTATTTTCTCATTACTATGCAATCAGAAAACAGAAATTGGTTGCTGATAAACTTTCATCTATAATGCCCAGTTTTAAATTTTGTTTGTCAAAATAATTTCATCATTCTCAGTGAATTCTTTTATAAGTAAACATCAAAATTTGAACTTAAAAAAAACTCATTGTAGAAAAATGCAATTTTTATAGATTGGTGTTGTGTGAAAAATTTTAAGTGAAAAGAAGGTTCTGATGCAAAAAAAAAAAGTTTGAAACAAATATTTTTGTTTAGGCAAAAATATTCATAGCTGTGTGTTAATACCTACAAAGATTTCCAAAGACACAAAGGAACAAAGCCCAGGTCAGAGTTCAAGTGACTATATGGGTGAGAAACCCTAAATGTCAACAACAAAAGAGAAAATTACTGCAGCTCATTATCTTTCAGTTATAAATATTCTTATCTCAAGAACTATGGGGTTGGAGAATCCTTGATATTAACAGTTCAGACTCTCCCATATCTTCACATATTTAATTCTATAAAATGCAGGGCATGCTTGCCAGGGTTTAGAAAAATGTCAGAATATTCTTGATCTTCTGCAGGATTTCACTCACTTGGGCTACTATCCCAATCTTTCTGCCATTGTTTTCAAGATAATCCTATATTACTAAAGACTTACTTAATTTTTGGCGAATTAACATTTGCCCCATACTCTGCATGACCTCTATATCTACCAACAATGAAATGAACAGCATGAAATTATATACAGAATTTTATTTACAGTGTCAATAAATCTGCTATCTCCAGGAAATTCCTAACTACAAAATTATTATCTAATTAAAAAGGGAAATTGCAAAAGCCTTCCTAATTCAGGTCATAATAAACCCAGAAATGAAGAGAACAATGGCAGTCCATTAAATATGTCGCCAGAAAAAAATAAAAATTCTTAGGTTCTTGGCTCCTTGGATTAAATGGCCCTAAAGCCTTTATTGTATTGTTGTGGGCTTATTTCTTCTTCTTTACTATAAAAAAAATTTATAAAACAACCCATCAATATATGAATAATTAAATTTCCATATGAAAGATTAATTTAAAAATAGGTTCATTGCTTATGACCATAGAAGAGCATTTTCTCAGATATGGAAATTGTGAAAGCCATATTTTTAAGATGTTAATTTAGAAATATGAAATCTAACTCTTCAACTATTTACATCAATTTATATACATTGTAAACTCTTAGTATGAAATATTTACAAAAAGCTTTCTTCATGACTTAATATAAGATCTTACAAAGACATGATATGTTATTCTAATAAAAATTATAAACAATTTTCATAAGAAAATCTATAAAAGTTGAATCATGTATTCACAATGGAGAAACAAAATATAAAGTAAGCTAATGCATTTAAAGAATGAAATTAAAACTATAAGTAATTTAAAACCTAACACACAGAATGAATCAATTTTTTAAGGAATTTTTATCTTAAAACTTTTCTACTACCTCCTGATAAAGCAGTAATGCAAAGCCAAGGAGACTATAATACCACTATGAATGTAAGATTTTTAACACACGCTAATACAAGCTAAGAAAAAAAATTAAAATATATACCAGGATGATTAACAGATTATTTGCTGAAAGGTGCTAAACAAACTCCCATGGTGTTTAGTTCTCAAAAATGTCTAAAGCCATCAGTAAAGAAATTGTTGGAAATTAAACAAAACACATAGCTCAGAATCCCTTATGTGGTGTCATTGACGGCCCATAAAAATAAAAAAGAAGTGTGTGAGAGAATAAAATGAATTTGCCAGATGTGTTAAAATAACCTGGCAAAATAATTCCTCGTAGGGATTATAACCAATAGTTACCTGGAACATCTATATTTTCAGAAGAGAATTTTTGGAAAGCATTCATGAATAGAACTACATTTCTGGGGTCAAATAGCTTCTAGTGACTACTTTTGTATAACAGGTTTAACATCTCTATGTTTGTTTCTGATTTGAAAAGCACATACACCAATTCCAAGTGGAATGAAGAATTTTTAAGTGCTTTAGGAAGGATTTGCATAGCAATAACTTTTAATATCTTGGAAAAATAAATTACTGATTTTTCCCAGGATCATCCATCATAATCATAACTCATTCACAAGAAGTACCTAGACCAGTGCTCAGCACAAAGGAGACACTCAATAAATATGATTCCCTTCCCCTACCTACCTCTACTCCTCTATCAAACGCTATGCAGTGATTCCCCTCTGGTGCCTCAGGAACCCCAGCCATTGATGAGGTGAGATGAGGAGGAGGTCAAACAGGCTAAGCTTTTATATGAGCAGCTTCATTTGTATATCTGCCTTATATATTGGCATCCAGGTAAGAGTTTCTTTGAATCAAGGGTTCTAACTGCAGTAGAGGGAAGAAAGAAGATGATCTCTGTTCTTTAGAAGTGAAATTCTATCCTCAGCTTTCTCTTTCCAGGGTGATTACATTCCTCCTATAGCTTCAACTACCCCCTATACAATGATATCCAGCTCTTTATCTCAAGTCCTTCATCTCCATTTTCCCCAGAACCCAATCAGTCACAAAGTCCTGCAAATAATAAATATCTCTTACACCACTCCATTCTCTGCTTTGGTTCACTGATTTGGTTCAGACCCATATATCTTTTGGGCGAACTGGTGCAATGGAATCCTATTGGTCTCCAGCCTCCAGTTTATCAGTCACCTTTCATCCTCCAAACTGGAGCCAGAGTAATATTCCTAAATTACAAACAAGGTTGTGTCATTCTCTATGTCAATACTTCCCTGCCTCTCCTTCATCTACCACAGAATTAGAGAATACAAGTTCTATCATCTGCACAACTGCCTACCTTTTCTTTCTCATCTCCCTTTATCTCCAGTTTTTCTTATATCTAGTAATTTCCGAATTTTGCCATAATGTCTCATAATTGCAGTTTGTTTCCTCTGACTGGAATGATCTTTCCTCTTGTTTGTCTGAAAAAAAATTGGTTTCAACATTCAGCTGATGGGTCATATTCTCAGTAGGACTCTTTCTGACACTACCAATCAGTGTTGGTTACTACCTCTGCATTTCTAAAAGCTCTTTGAACAGAACTTGGTTATGTCATTTATCCTAGTAACATGATTTTTTCACTTGTTAGTACCACTTACTAGTCTAGAACCTGGAGGGGGTGTAACTGATTTATAGTTGTTTTTCTGTCTTCAGGACCTACACAATGACTTGCCCATGGTAAGAGCTTCATTCATGGTTGTGGAACAAGTCAGTGAGTGGTAAAAAGAGGAAAGGGGAAAACAATGACCAAAAAAAAAACAAACAAATAAGAAGGAGAAGGGAGAAGTGGGTATGGGAATGAAGAGAACATCCATGGCATGTTTGGTTGAAGCACAGCATTCACATAAGGGAGCAATGGGAAGTAATATAAGTAGATATAACTGCAAAGCTCAAAATTTCACCTATTAGTAAAAACATGGCTTTTGACAAGGAAGACAGCATGCACATAAATTATTTTGGAGAGTTCATTCTTGCGATGTGGGCTGCACTAGGAGGGGCAAAGGGAGGCGGCAGTCCAGACAGGAGGTAATGAAGACAGATTAGACCAGTGGCAATGAGGGGGAAAAGGTGAGGGGGAAATGCACTACACAAGAAGACCCAAAAGATTTGTTAACTAATTATGAGGGGAAAAAGAGAGAGAGAACAAGAAGTCAAAGTGACTCAAAAATTTCCCAGCTAAGTAAATTGGAAAATGCCTCAGATTAACAGATTGTAGAAGAGAGTAGAATCATTAAAGAAGATGGAGAAAATTAACCCAAAAATAGAATGGCAACCAGCCCTTTGCAACATCAAGAATAAAAGTAGTAATAATTATTATTATAAATTATGTCATGTAATTTATAATTATATTATTAATAATTTTATGAATTACTATTACTATTTTGGTTACTACAAAGAAATACAAAGGTCATGGGGGAATTGTCAATAAGATGAGATGATATAGACATTAAAAAGAAAGGAATACAGAGAAATGTTGTCAATGAGGAGATTGACAATGAGGAGATCATTAGTGTCCTCAGAGAGTTGAGTGGGAATAGAAGCCAGTCTACAAGGAACAACGTGAGTGGAAAATGAGAAATGCAGACAGTACTCGATTTTAGAAAGTATTGGTAGAGAAAGGAAGGGTTGGGGAGGAAAAATATGGGGAGGGACAAGATGGCTGCTTAAAGAAATTATGAGCCTTGGCCGGATGCAGTGGCTCACGCCTGTAATCCCAGCAATTTGGGAGGCCAAGGCCAGCAGATCACTTGAGGTCAGGAGTTTGAGACCAGCCTGGCCAACATGGTGAAACCCCCTCTCTACTAAAAGTATTAGAAAATTAGCCAGGCATGGTGGCGTGCATCTGTAGTCCCAGCTACTCAGGAGGCTGAGGCAGGAGAATCACTTGAACCCGGCAGAAGGAGGTTGCAGCCGAGATCGAGCCACTGCACTCCAGCCTAGGCAACAGAGCGAGACTCTGTCTCAATTTAAAAAGAGAAAGAAAGAAAAGAAAGAAAGAAAGAAAGAAAGAAAGAAAGAAAGAAAGAAAGAAAGAAGAAGGAAAGAAAGAAAAAAGAAAGAAAGGAAGGAAGGAAGGAAGGAAGGAAGGAAGGAAGGAAGGAAAGAAAGAAGGAAAGAAGGAAGGAAGGAAAGAAAGAAGGAAAGAAAGAAAGAAAGGAAGAAAGAAAGAGAAAGAAAAGAAAAGAAGGAAGGAAGGAAGGAAAATTATAAGCCGTGTCAAGTTTACAATATTTTAGAAGAGAGTAGAGAAGAACCATCCATTTTATAGAGCTGGAAAATTTGCCTCTAGTGTTTCAGTGTTTCCTTTACAAATAGGTCACAATAAGAGACATAGCAGGCTCTCATATGTAAGAAGATATGCAGAGAAATCTACACTGATGTGAAGTAGACCATATCCTAGCCACGTGTAGCTTTTGGGTAGCTGATTCTGAGCCACTGGCCTTTAGGCCAAGGGCTGGGATATTGCAAAGACATCCATCATTTTACTAAACAAAACAAATAGTGTCACAGGTATACAACTTTTTAAGGTAATGTTTTCCTTCACACTTCCAAATTAACATTTTCAGATCTTTTTCAAAAAATAGGTCCTACTAGAAGTAATTTGATAACACAAAATATTTAGAATACAGCATCCATCAAATTACCTCTATTAATTCCAATGTCAGCACAAACTTTAATCACAAAAATAACCAGACGACTGACAGTATATCTAATATTTGACACTTATGAATTTATCTCCTGAAAAAATTTACACTGCCAAATTCAGCAGAAGTCAAAATGCAATTAGAACAAAGGGTAACAATTCCAAACACATGCAGCTTACTGACTGGCCCTTGCCATTTCATAAATAGAGGGTGCTTGAAACCTGCCCTTCAGCCCATAATAACAGCCTGCCAAGGGCTTCAAAAGCAAGCAGGAAGGAATAGGGGAGTGAGCTTGGGATCTGAGGAGGAGATTCTGTATATTTGGAAAATTCCATTTAAATAACCCAGTTGTCACAAATCCCCTTCCCAGATCCCCATTCTAGGAGATTGAAAAGCAGTAATTAGAATGGGTGGGCTGGGAAAGCCAACTAAACACAGATTGACAGATAGGCTACCAGAAGAGGCATCCCCTGAACTACATTATTCCAACAATAATGTCTTTATTTACATAGCAGAGTGGGTATATTGTGTTCAGCAAAGCTTTCAATAAGTAGAAACATGCTGCTAGAAGAATAGCCCACCACCACACAAAACTGCTAATTTAAAGATACAAAAACCAGTGCACCAATTAGTTCTGCAATCCCCACAGAAAACATGAAATAGCTTTTTCCATGAGCCTTGCAGATCACAACCATAGCAACTTAACATGTGCAGTCCCATATGGGTTGACTGCTTCTCAGAATGAGGCCAGGAACTCAGGAATCCAAGCTTTTACATCAGAAATGGAGAAAAACCGAACATGGAATAGTTTTGTATCAAAGTTAAATTTCAAATACTCTAAAATCAAGTCTTAATAATTTTATATATATGTATATATATATATATATATATATATCTGCATCTTATTGTACTGTTCAAATGGGTATTCTTATAATTTTCTGGCCTGTTCTATGTTCCCACAATGAACAAAAAGAGACTCACTAATTAAGAATGGTCAGTGCAAAGAAACGTGTGTATGTGTGTGAATTTTATTTGGCTTTTTTTGTTCTGATTCTGAACTGAAGAGAATTCTCAAAAATTTTCTTGCTATGAACAGCCCCTGACTTAAGCTGACACTGACTATAGAAAAGCACTACTCCTGATGGTCTGCTACCAATTTGTAATACATACCCTGAACAAATCAAAAAGTGCCAATGTATTTCCTTATGCCAAAAGTGTAAGAGTGGGTTCCTTGTAATTAAGTGTGTGCCCTTGATGAGTCTTAGTTTTCTCATATGTGTCAAATGAACTGATTGAACTAGATTAAGTTTAAGGCCTGGCTCTTCCACTTAATTTCCATAATCTTGAATGGATTACTTAACTTCACTATGCCTCAGCTTCCTCATCTGTAAAATGGGGGGTGATAATAGCATTTACCTCATGAAATGATTTAATACATGTGAAGCAGTAAAACAATACCTGCTCTAGTAACTACCTAGTAAATGTTCTCTAAGGTAATCAAGAGACCGCTTCTAAAGTACCTTCCAGCTCCCAGAACCTGTAATTGTATGAAAACTATATGCCCCGTGTGCTATGTTGGCTTTACTTAAGAATTAAATATTACAGCCAAAAAAGAAATAATTCTGATGAAATATTGCTTTCAAAATCTTGATGTCATCCTATTGGAAATACCAAACAGAATCTTTATAAGGTATTTTTAGTCAATACCTTCTGATCACAATTATACCCTTAAAATGAAATTAAATCCTATTTTCATTGGAAAAAAGGTAGACTGTGCCATATTTAGGGTTTGTCTTTCTTCTTTATCATTCTACCCTTTGTGGTTTCTGCATCTTTTCTGAGTCTCAACTATCTCCTTTCTGTGTGTCCATAATGGCAGAACTTAGAGACAAATTCAGGAGTATATATGCAGATTCCATAAGTGGTTATTAAAGAAGAGGTCTTCATTAAAAATGTTTATAGAGAAATAAGGATGAAGAAGCTAAGGGCTAAGTCTCTTTCTAAGTGCCCCAACAGTTTTAGAAAAATGAAAGACATGTTTCTGCATTTTAAGTTAATCCATACATTCTTTCACTGAATATATATCTATTGAAAATGTTAAGCACTGTTCAGGAAACCACAGGTAGTTAAGGAAATACACAGTCTTTTCCCTCAAGGAGTTTGTAGCTGAGTGGTGAGACAGCCACAAAACCCAAAACTTATAATACAGTATGATAAGAGAAGTATTAGAAGTGTGTTTAAGATACAATAGGAATAATAAAAAAAAAAAAAGAGAACCAATGCCTGCTGCCTGCCTGGAAGTATCAGGCAAAAAAACTTCCCAAAGGGAAAAAAAAAATGAAATTGGAAAAGAGATTTTTCTCAGCCTAGGAAGAATGAGAGAACATTTCAGGCAAAACGAACTACATCTGCCAAAACGTAGAGGCATGAAAGAGCACTGCCTGCTTGACGTGCTGCCAAGAGATTGGTATTGCCAAAGGGTGCAATATAGTTGGAGTCACAGCTAGGAGAGAAAACTGGAGCAGTTGATAGGAAACAGATCATTCATGCCTGGCTACGGAATGCAGATTTTATCCTATAAGTGGTACACAGAGAACTATGACGAAGAGACCAATACTCACTGATTTCAATTTTGGAAAGAACGTTCTAGTACAGAAACAAGCCTGGAAGATAGGAGAGGCAGAGTCAGAACCTCAGGCCAGAGATGGTGCGTTCCTGAAATAAAGCAGTAGTCATAGTAAATAGAAATGAGGGAATGCTTGCAAACCTGCAGACATGAACATATAGAATCTGGTCATTGGGTATAGGCATGAGAAGGAGGCAAGCAACAAAAATAATGCTGAAGTTTCTATCTTGAGTAAAACAAGTAAAAAACCAGGATAGACAGAGATGGTTTGTGAGAGTTGAATGTGCAGAGAACAGAAGGAGCAGTTAAAGCAATGAGCATGATGAGTGTGCATGAGTGAGTGCAGAGGTGAGAAGAGGAGGGACCAAGAGGGAGCCTGATATATGAGGTGAGCAGAGGCAACAGAATTCCTAAGGAGAGGCTCAAATCATGGCAACCACTGAGAGGAGGAGAGCGTGGTCACCAGTACTAAATGTTGCTACCAGGACATGAAAAGGCACAGAAAAAAAAAATGTCTACTGGATTTGATAACTAAGGAACCATTCATGAGTCTGAAGGGAGGGAGGAGGGGTGGAAGCTGGGGTTCCTGGGTTGAAGATTAATTAGGAAGTTGAGCAAGTGAGAGCAAGTAGACCCAGCTCAGCTCTTTCCAGACTAACACACGTGGTTTATTTAACACACATTGCAAACACACAGTCACACCTTCAGCCCACTTGTTAAAACCACACTGGTCCTGAGTAGACAGTGTTATAAACTGCTATCTACATGGCGTGATGTTAAGCATGTCAGCAAGCTCCCCTCTTCCTATAAAGACCTTTCCACCAATTGACGAATGCCTGGAAATCTGACAGAAGAAAAAGCCTTTCCATCACATAATAACTAGAAATAAAACCTAAAATGTAAATCCCCTTAGAAGAGGTAAAAGATGAGCAAATTTACTGCAAACTGAAAATTGCCCTTACCTGACCCTTTTCTGAGAAGAGGATTAGGTAGGGAAGTTGCCAGGAAGAATCTGAGTGAGCCCTGAGGGAGAGAAGAGAAAGAAGAGGCTGAAAGTACTGAAAACAAATTTTTACCTGGTCTGAACTTTTATTTAGCATTAGCATGTCTTCCATGATTTTAGAGGTCACCTTGTCACAAGCATAAGGAGGAAGATCCCTAACCATAGGCAGAAGAGTTATTTCCCCTGGTTGCAGAAGGAGAGAACCAGCCTCATTAATAATTTCACATTGTCTAAACTCTAGATAGCTTTAAATATAATAAAAAGTCTGCCCTATTCTCCAACCCACATATTCATTTTCAGCTTCTACCTAATAATCTTGACACATTTCACTTGGTTTTAAGTTTTTTTCATCTCTCTTTAGGATTAGTTAATTTTTTAATTGCCAAGAAAGGTTTTTAAAATCTATTACAGGTATTATGATATAGAACGATTAAGCTTGAACATATATACTGATTTTCAGATATTTTCGAAACCTGTCATAAAGTATTAAGTTTTTAAAATACTCTACTACTTTCACAAGCCTTCTAAAAAACCACTCATCATAGCCATTTAGAAAGAAATATGACATTAAAAGAAGGTAAATTTTCCAAGTGTTATACTGTGATTTAGTTGTGCTCTCCCATTAAGTCTAAATGTGTCTTCCAACCAGTATAAAGCAGTCATGATTTATTTGAGCCTGATGGTAAAGGTCTATTAAAACAATAACTTGAAAATAGTCTGCATAGCTAACACATCACCCATCAAAGAGATTAAGGCAGGAATTCTCAGAAGGCTGTGTGTATATCTGTGACTCAAAGAGATGAGCAATTAGAGGGACTAAAAATGTCTGAGTCTTTTATGTACAGAAAAACCCACTCTCCAAAGGTCTCAAAGAACTGGGGAAAACTTGGGAAAGGCCAGCTGGAAGTGAGGGGTCTCAGCCTGTGCTTGATGTAGGCCATGAACTATGATCATAGCCCAGCCCTGCTTTTAAAAAAGAAAATGTTTGCAGTTGGGTAAGGAAAACAAAACGGATGGTTTTTAATTCTTTAAATAATGTGTAACAGAGTTGCTTTATAATACAGCTTGCTGGTAAACATAGATATTCTGAGGATGAAATGAATATATCCCAAGACATAAGAGTTACATTAGTTAAAACCCAAGAAGACACAGCTATAAAGAGTGATTTCATTTTGACTACATTTGCCAAGTTGTCTCACAGCCCTTTGCAAGGTTAAAGCTTTTTAGGTACCTGAATCCAGCAACGACCTTCATGACAGGACCTTCTTCTCTAGTGCTGTGCACTCGTTTTATCACTAAACTCCTCAAATGTGAATTCTATCCACACTATCTACTTTTTCTCACTACACGGACATTCCTCAATTCATTGCCTCCACCACTCTACTGGCAATGCTCTAGGTTGCCTTCTCATTTGCTAAATCCAACTTTCTATTTTCTGTCTTCACCCCTCCTAGCCCTCTGCAGCATTTAGTACTGTTTATCATATCTTCCAGAGCCCCGTCAGCTCCTGCTTCTCCTCCTTCCTCTCTGGTCATTTTCTTTTATGCCATAATGACTACTACTTCTACTTCTATTGGTTACCGTGTTTGCATCTGAGGTCATTTTCTCCATTCACACCACCTGCTCTCTCTTCATGACCTCAGCTACCATCTACAGCTGATAAGCTTTCAATCTTCAGCTCCAGCCCCAATCTTTCCCAAGGTCCAGACACCCATATCCACCTTTATGTTTCATAGCTTTTTCTCATGCACCATGACCAAAACTTATTTTAGCTCTGCCACAACCCATCCCACTTCAAAACTTGTTCCTTCTCATTTTTTTGTCTCCGTTAAGGGTGACACTTCAAATGTAAAAGCCTGGTAATATTCTGTGCTTCCTCTCTTTCTCTCACCCTGCCCAGTGAGTCATCAAAACTCATGAGTTCTATCAATCACAGAAATGCTTTGCAAATCTAGTTTCTCTCCTGCACCATTGCCTCTGCCTTAGACTAAGCACTCCTTATCTGTTAAATGCATTGAAGAAATAACCTCAATTTCTCCTTCTCATGGCAAGGATTCACATACATAATCCTAAAAACAAGTGCTGATTCTGCCACTCCCCAAGACAAAGACCCCATTGCTTTACCTCAGCTGTCTTCGGATGAAGTTAGAGCTCCTTAAAAAGGCATAAAAGACCTTCAGAGTCTAGCCCCAACTACTACTCCAGTCTTAACTCCTGAAGCTCTTCCCACAGGTATCTACATCTAGTCACATAGGACTTCTCATTTACTCTCTCTGAAATCTTAAATTAATTCTCACTGAATGACTGAAACTTCCATATGTCTAACTTGTTCACCGTTTTAAACACAATGTATCTGGCTTTTTTTTTTAAAGCTTGCTGAAGCCCCCAGTTCCTCCATAACACCCGCTTTCCATTTATTTCCCATCCATTAGCTCCCTTTTGAATGAATGTTCTACCCCTAAACTTCACTTATGTTCCCAACCTTTCCTTATCTCTCTTGCCCTTCTGGTCTTCTAACTAATCCTATGAAGCTCAACTCTGAATGTATGAATTCTTCACTAGTATTTTCTGGGAGTAACCACCTTTCTCAGTTGTGCTCTCAGAAATAAGTCTATCAAATTTTAGGAAAACACCTTATAACAACAGTAGGTGTCATTGTGCTCCATGAGAAATTAATGAAATGGATAACAGAATGTTCTCTGATGCTGCCATAAGGATTAGAGATATTTTGGTAGGGAACTTTGCACAGACAATTTCCCTGTCCAGGACATCTTTGTCTTGGTCAATGAAAAGTATAAGCCCTGAATCAGGATTGCAGGTGTGTTGCAGTATGATCTTATGGCTGTCTTTCCAGCCAGCCTACATTCAATTCTCATCCCATCAAGTCCTATTTGCTAGCCTATTCAGATGGGTTTTCCAACTAATTGAAACTGAGAGTGATAAAATAGCAGAAAGTTGCATTCACTTTTTTGGTTCTCTGATATGAATCTGGAAAGCATTGTTCCCTAAGTATAATAGCATATTAATATACAGAGAAAGAGGACAGGCTTACTCTTCTTATTTGAAGCCATATTTTGCTTTTGTTAAGATCTATTACCAACTTCATCCAAAACACAGTAGAACTGTATTAGTCTATTTTCATGCTACTGATAAAGACATACTTGAGACCGGGCAATTTACAAAAGAAAGAAGTTCATTGGACTTATAGTTCCACATGGCTGGGGAGGCCTCACAATCATGGCAGAAGGCAAGGAGGAGCAAGACACATCTTATGTGGATGGCAGCAGACAAAGAGAGAGCTCGTGCAGGGAGACTCCCATTTTTAAAACCATCAGTTCTTGTGAGACCCATTCACTATCACAAGAACAGCACGGGAAAGACCCGCCTCCATGATTCAGTCATCTCCCACCAGGTCCCTCCCACAACATGTCGGAATTATGGGAGCTACAAGATGAGATTTGGATGGGGACACAGAGCCAAACCATATCAAGGACAATCTAGATTCCAGGTGGAGATCCTAAATGTTGTTGACAGCCAACTCTTAGAGCAAAAGGCAGTAAAGAACCCTTTCTACCCAGAGGCGGGGCTTAGATTGGAGCCTTCCTTGAGATGGACCAAAATTCAGAAAAAGTTAGTACATTTGTGATTCTGTTCAAATAACAACAGAAAAAAACAAAGAGTAAGCACAAAGAATAATAAACAGAACAAGCACTTGATGCAGAACACTTCAGGGACAAAACACAAGAAGCATAAGTTCCCATGTGCCAGCCTATTCAGAAGCAAGCCTACAGCAAGCACTGAGGCACTCCAACACAAACCTCGGTAGCTAGGATTCAGAAGTCAAAATCAGGCAGTGAGAAGACCTCACCCTTTTTAAAGTGGGCAGCCTCAAGGGATCAAGTGTGGCCTCAGAAACATTCACAAGAACTTGTTCTTCACCGTTAACAGGCAGCCTCCAAGCACTTCTGCTTGGCAACTATCCTCACAAATGGACTCAGCAGCTCCCAGCTGTCTGTATTTGTGTAGATTGCCATAAGGACACATTCCCTTCCCTCTTCAGGGAATGTTAAGGGTATTGTCTTCCAGCAAACAGTACCTGAGTCCTGAATCACCTCACCAAAGGAATCTTGGCCTTCTTTTCTCCTGCCAACATCTCTGTTAGCCTGTTGGTCAACACATAAAGAAAAAAAAAATCCTATGTTCAGCCACAGTCATTTAGTACCATTGGAAAGGTGTGGCTGTAATCTGCCTTTAGTATTGACAAAGATTCTTGTTTGTCCAAACTTTAGTCAGCTCCTGAACGTTTTCGTAGGCCCATCTGTGCCCTTTCTTATAAAAACCAGTTTTAGCAAAGAACCCTACTAAGTTTAGCAAGAACTCCCCACTGGTAGTATCTGATTGCCCTGGATACCTGCTCAGGTTTCTTATCCTCAACCATCCCCCACTCTCCATAATGTCTGATCACCCTGGCCTGCCCTCATCAAGCATCCTGTTAGATCAATTTAGCCAGAATCCCTCTTACCCCTGATGTTTCCTCTTAATTTTCTATCCACTGACCCCCACCCTCTCCTGGGCCATAAATTCCCACTTACCCATGCTGTATTCAGAGTCAAGCTCAATCTGTCTCCCCACCACAAGACTACATTGCAGTGGAGCCACTACCTATCACGATGCTCCTGAATAAATTCTTCCTTACTGTGCTTTCACAATTAACACTGATTTTTTTTTAACGTTAGCCAAACTAAAACACAGCCTTCTGAAGAGAGAGGAAAAGGAAGGGAAGGGTAACAGAGGGAACACCAACATGTCAGAGGAGGAGAAAAGAAGTCATTTATTTGACTCATTTTCCCGGCAGCATTAATTTATGATTCTTGTAGACTTTTGGCAGGAATGTAGGAGGAAGGATTTCAAGAATTCATAGAATCATTTTTTAAAAGAAGCATGGAAAGGGGGATATGCAATGTATCTAGTCCAGTTCTATCATTTCATAGACTTGGAAAATGAAGAGAGGAAAGGAAAAAGAGGATAATATTTACTGAGGTCCCATTACTTACCAAGTGCTTTAAATTTGTCATTTCATTCATCCTTTAAAAAATGGTATGATGTAATGATATCTCCAGCTTACAAAGATAGGAACTAAGGCTGAACAAGTTGAAGTAAGTTTTCTAAGGGCACATGACTTGGTAAGTGAAAGGGTCAAAATTTAACTCAGATTTTCTGGATCTGGAGCCTCTTTACACTATGTTAGGTTGCCTCACAAAGAGGCATTTGGAGGTTTAGAAACTGTGCTAGGCAACCTAGCCAGTGAAGTGGGGACAGCTAGGCCTCTGGACTTCCAGCCTCAGAGTCTCCCCACTGTAAATAACACTGCAATTTATATTATCTATAACTGAAGACACATGACACTGTTGTTGACACAAAGAGTTGAACTCTATAAAATAGTTCAAGAGGTTTATCCTGAGCCAAATATGAATGACCAAGGCTCATGACACAGCCCCAAGAGGTCCTGAGAACATGTGCTCAAGGTGGTTGGGTTATAGCTCGACTTTACACATTTTAGGGGGACAGAAGTTACAGAGAGACATCAGTCAATACATGTAAGGTGTACATTGGTTTGGTCCGGAAAGGCAGGTCAACTTGAAGCTGGGGGTGGGGGTGGTGAGCTTCCAGGTCACAGGTGGATTCAAAGATTTTCTGATCAGCAATTGGTTGAAAGAGTTAAATTATTATCTGAAGTCCTGGGATCAATAGAAAGAAGTGTCTGGGTTAAAATACAGGTGGTTGTGGTGACCAAGGTTCTTATTAGGAAGATGAAGCCTCCAGGTAGCAGGCTTCAGGGAACGTAGATGCTAAATGTCTCTAATCAAACCTAAAAAGGTACCAGACTCTTAATCTCTCCTGGATCAGGAAAATACCTGGAAAGGGAAGGGGATTCTCTACAGAATGTAGATTTTTCCCCACAAGACACAGCTTGGCAGGGCCATTTCAAAATATGTCAAAGAAATGTATTTTGGGGTAAAATACTTCAATTTCCTTTAGAGCCTGTTATCTGTCATGCAGTGCTACACTGGAGTCAGGCTGGAATTGTGTATCTTACTGCAACAAAGTGTCAGTTTTGTCAGTCTTAAGATCTCTGTTTTAATTTTAACGCTGGTCAGTTGTGTCTGAATTCCAAAGGGAGGATGGTATAGTGAGGAATGTTTGACACCCCCCTACTTCCCATTATGGCCTTAACTAGTGTTTCAGATTTACTTTGGAATGCCTGTGGCCAACAAGAGGATCCATTTAACTGGCTGGGGGGCTTAAAATTGTATTCTTGGTTTACACTGTGAATTAAATGATCCCATTCATTCAGTGTAGTGAATTTCTATTGTTTTTGCTTGCCCAGCACTACTCTTTCCCATCTTTCCTCCAGCCCCTACTTCAGATCTGCCCAGAATTCACCACTTTACTGGGCCTGTCACTGACCCTACTTTCACAATTTCCCTTCTCATTTGTTCTCTACAGAAAGTACCTGTCCTTTCTCTTATTCCCTTAGAACCCAGCTCTCATCTAAGGAACTGATTTGTTCATTTAAAGAATATGTTAACTAATAAAGACCTAATGCTGTAGTGTGTTATGTCCATGCAGATATCATTTACATGTTAATGGCCACCTACATTGTAGTAACCCAAAGAATTCAAGTGCAGGGAATGTCAGGCCTCAGGCTAGTCAAGGAAGGAAACTTCAGAGCCATGGGTGGTTTTTATTTTTTACTTTTTATATTTTTTTAAGATGGAGTCTCACTCTGTTGCCCAGGCTGGAGTGCACTGGCATGATCTCGGCTCACTATAACCTCCGCCTCCCAGGTTCAAGTGATTCTCGTGCCTCAGCCTACTGAGTAGCTGAGATTACAGGCGTGTGCCACCTTGCCCGGCTAATTTTTTGTATTTTTCATACAGACGGGGTTTCACCATGTTGGTCAGGCTGGTCTCAAACTCCTGACCTCAAATGATCTGCTTACCCTGGCCTCGCAAAGTGCTGAGATTACAGGCATGAGCCACCATGCCTGGCCAGTGGGCACTTTTTAATCAGCAATTTTAGAGTGAGGCCAGTACCTTCTCTCCACAAACCTGTCTCCAAAAGTAAAATACATTATCAATCAATACATATGTCTTGAGTACCTACAATGTGCTTAGCACTGTTCTAGATCTCAGGATAGATGAAAGGTGAAAATGAAAAATATCAGACACTGTTCTTCACCTTAAATTGCCTATATAATAATATTTATGAAGTTAGAAAAAGCTGGCATCTATAACCTACTAGTTAGCCACTCTGATATATTTCTGGAACAACCCTAAACAACATTTTCTTCTTTTCTCAGTAAAACCTAACTCTCCCACATACAAAAAAACCTACATACTCATTTTGGTTAATAAACACCATTCTCCCAGTAACCTAGACACAACACCTCTTCCCTTTACTCAACCAGCCAGTTGTCTAGTCCTGTTGATTCTAGCTCAGCCCTGTCAATCAACCATCCCAATCTTTCTTTTCTCACTGCTACTATTACGTTCATGCCTCTATCATCTCTTTGCTTGATTATTGCAATGGTCTCCGTGTCTACAGAATGTCCCCACTCTCAGCCATTCTATCTATACATTGGTTTAATTTAATCTTAAGTAGATCTGTGTCCATGTCACTTGTCTGATAAAAAAGTCTATAATTCTCCATTTTCAATAGAAATCTAAATTCCTGGCCAGGCAGAGTGGCTTATGCCTGTGATCCCAGCACTTTGGGAGTCCAAGGCGGGTGGATCACCTGAGGTCAGGAGTTCAAGACCAGCCTGGCTAACATGGCGAAACCCTGTCTCTGCTAAAAATACAAAAATTAGCCAGGCGTGGTGGTGGGTGCCTGTAATCCCAGCTACTCAGAGGCTGAGGCAGGAGAATCACTTGGACCCAGGAAGCAGAGGTCACAGTGAGCCAAGATCGTGCCAGTGCACTCCAGCCTGGGCAACAGAGCAAGACTGTCTCAAAAAAAAAAAAAAAAAAAAATCTAAATTCCTTAGCCTGACACTCAGATCTTTTCATGGTTTGGACCAATCTTACCTTTCCAGCCCTGGCTCTCATTAGGTTTCCTTTGTTAAACTTTGTTACATCACATTCATTGAACCAATAACTATTTCTTATAAGAATTCCTGTTTCCATGTTTGTGTCTGCTCTTAACTTCTAACTTGGCAAGTCCTTCTTTCCTCCTCTTTCTCTGCCCACCCAAATTGTATCCATTCCTTAAGGGTCAAATACCACCTCCACCATGAAGCAGTCAGAAGCTGACTATCTGTCTCTAAATGTTTGTAGGATTGTATCGGATTATCCAACACCACGTTGATCAATTTCTAGCTTGTTTCATAGTTATTAGCAAACACAACTTATCCTTCCTGCTGGCCTATAAACTCCTCAAAATGAAAGACTAGCATTGGTGGTAGACAGAAGTTAGATACTACCTTCCATCTGGAGAATCCAGGAACAAAAATAAGCAAGAAGTAGCCTTTAAACTGAGCCTTAAAAATGAGGAAATTTTGAATGTAAGAAAACTGAAAAGATCTGTTCAAGAGAAGGGAGGGTCTCTGGGCCAGGTACGATGGTTCACACCTGTAATCCCAGCACGTTGGGACGCCAAAGTGGGCGGCTCACTAGAGTCCAGGAGTTCGTTCAAGACCAGCCTGGCCAACATGGTGAAACCCCATCTCTACTAAAAATACAAAAAAAATAAAATTAGCCAGGTGTGGTGGCACGCACCTGTAATCCCAGCTACTCAGGAGGCTGAGGCAGGATAATCCCGGCTACTCAGGAGGCTGAGGCAGCTACCCGGGAGGTGGACGTTGCAGTAAGCTGAAATGTCACCACTGCACTCCAGCCTGGGTGACAGAGCAAGACCCTGTCTCATAAAAAAAAGAAAAAAAAGTAAAATTTGCTTTTAAATTAAATTTTTTTAAAAACAGAGAGAAGGGAGGATCCTGGCGTAAGGCTAACTTTTAAATTGTATTTATAAGGAAAACAGAGTTATCCAGTTTGGGTTGAGCTCAGAGTGTCTGAAAATTTGCTTTTTTGCTTTCCAAATTATAGGTAAAGTATCATCAGAATAACTTTCTTTGAGTATAGATTTTTAACTCACAAAGCTCCTAATAAGCACATAACTTAGATACGCACCCCAGAGGAACCACACTTTGGCTAGTGATCTACAGAATATGTTATACTTCTTGCACTTTTCCAGGTTAGCCAGGGGAAGGAAAGGAAGGGAGTTAGAATGTTCAGCACCTCTTGGCAATGTTGCCCAGTGACCTGGCAGCCAAAGCATTACTGCAGCCCACTAGAGGAAACACTGGGCACAGAATAATAAACTTACCTGTGAGAATATTCAAAAAGATCCAAGTTGGCCTTAACCTATATCTTAAAATTATTCTATTATTAAGTTTATACAGCAGGATATGAATTCAATTCTTATCCTGACACATATTTTCCTGTAAGTCGTCTTTGGTTGCATTAAGAATACAAAGAAACTCTGAAATATTTTTAAAATATCTACCAAGCTTGAAAAGTATGTATGCTTCTGTCTACTGCATACATCCCTGTTCCTTCTTTTATTTTGAAGAAAATGAATAGAGAATAATAATTTTCTAACCACTTAGAAAATTCTTTTGAGAAAATGTACTGATATCTTCATTCAAGAAGTAGTTATTGCTTATTTCTGTTCTGACAGGCACTTTTTTAGCACTGAAAATGCAGCAGTGAGTCAAACAGACAAAATGTGTTGTCTTCGTAGGGCTTACATTTTGGCAGAGGGAGACAAACAGTAAACAAAATCAATATGTAAGTTATGTAGTTATTAGAAGGTGGGAAGTGCTATGGAAAAAAATTGAGAGGAAAGGGGAGTGGGAATGCTGGGGACAGAGGACGGTGGGGGTGAAGGGAGTAGCAACTGCATATAGAAGATCAGGGAAGTCTTCACAGAGAAAGCGACATTAGAACAAAAAGATTTGGAAGCATTAAGAAAGTTAGTCACATGATTATCAGGGGAAAAGCATTCCAGGCATAGGGAACAGCCACTGTAAAAGTCCTGAGGTGGGAACAGGTCTGGCATCATCAAGGAAGAACAAGGAGGTCACTCTGATGGGTGCTGCCATGGGAATTTGAGGCAATAGAAAGAGATGCTCATGGTATAATATAGGAAGTTACCCCAGACATGAGAATATGTAGCTTAGATACATGGAGTCAGCTTCATAAAGAAGGAAAGATGTTACCTAAAATGAAACTTTAATGTTCCTGCTGGAAAAGCCATGGTAATTTAGGAGTAAGGCAACAACCTTGGGGGATGGTGGCCCAGCAGTGGGCGAATGGAGGCGCTATATATATATATATACACACACACACACACACACACACACACACACACACACACATATATACACACGCACATATATATACATATATATACACATATATACATATATAAATATATATATACACACATATATATACATATATATACACATATATACATATATATACTCACACACTTTAAGTTATAGGGTACATGTGCACAACGTGCAGGTTTGTTACATATGTATACATGTGCCATGTTGGTGTGCCGCACCCATTAACTCGTCATTTACATTAGGCCAACATCATCCTGATACCAAAGCCTCGCAGAGACACAACAAAAAAAGAGAATTTTAGACCAATATCCCTGATGAACATCGGTGCAAAAATCCTCAATAAAATACTGACCAACCGAATCCAGCAGCACATCAAAAAGCTTATCCACCATGATCAAGTTGGCTTCATCCCTGGGATGCAAGGCTGGTTCAACATACACAAATCAATAAACGTAATCCATCCTATAAACAGAACCAAAGACAAAAAACCACATGATTATCTCAATAGATGCAGAAAAGGCCTTCAACAAAATTCAACAGCCCTTCATGCTAAAAACTCTCAATAAACTAGGTATTGATGGGACATATCTCAAAACAATAAGAGCTATTTATGACAAACCCACAGCCAATATCATACTGAATGGGCAAAAACTGGAAGCATTCCCTTTGAAAACTGGCACAAGACAGGGATGCCCTCTCTCACCACTCCTATTCAACATAGTGTTGGAAGTTCTAGCCAGGGCAATCAGGCAGGAGAAATAAATAAAGGGTATTCAACTAAGAATGGAGGCTTTGACTCCTACAACTGGAGAGGCCTCCCACTCTCCCACACTGGTTTCTGCCTCCACCCTGTGGGCTGCATGCAAATGACACAAACCCAGACAAAAAGGAGTTTTGGAAGAGTGTTAGCATTAACATGTGATCTCATGCTTCATCTTTGGCATAGCTGATTCTGTTTTTTCTGATAGTTTAATCTTTCCCCAAAATTTTGCAGAGGGACAGAAAGACAATTTGGCGTGGATGTGTATCTGCTTCCTATAGTATATATTCCCAGAAATGCAGAGGGGAGAGGGATATTGCAGTAAAAAATGGTTGTTATGGTCTAAATGTGTGTGTCTCCCCAAAATTCATATGCTGAAATCCTAACCCCCAAAGTGATGATATTAGGAGGCGGGGCCTCTGGGTGGTGATGAGGTCATGAGGGCAGAGCCTTACACAAGAGGCCCAAGGGAGCTCCCTCACTCCTAATGATGTGTGAGGGACAGGTGAGGACACGGCAAGAAGGTGTTGTCTATGAGCCAGAAAGTAGGCTCTCACCAGACACTGAAGCTGCTGGCACTTTGATCTTGGACTCCAGAACAGAGAGAAATAAATTTCTGTTGTTTATAACCTACTTGATTTATCATACACTGTTATGGTAGTCCAAATGGACTAAGACAGTGGTATCTAGTTAATGTAGAAATTTGGGGGATTTTAGGGGAGTACTGTACCTGACTCAACCAAAATCTACTAACAGATTTTCTTCATTCTAAATGAAATCTTAATTTAACAATTGTCCCTACAATCGATTGCCTTATTAAATGGTATTCTAGTATGTTATGCTAAACAAACAATAAATCATAAATTTAAATATCATATCTTAACCCCACTATAAGCACTGAACTCAGATATTTCTAAGACAAAGAACAAAGATTGAATTATTGAATACCATTACTATGTGTTAAAGATGAGCTCTCTAAAGCCCATTAAAACGTGTGTGCTTGAATCCTCCTTTATTTCAAAAAGTTGGAAAACAAAGAATGAAAAACTTTGCCTCACTAAAAATATCTGTGCCAAACTGCAAATATGTATGAGGAAGTTGTCACTTAATAATAGCCAGGCAAACTCTTTCAAAATACCTGAAACCAATATAACAATAATTATTATTCACTTAAAAGCTCTGAGCTTAGCATGATTTCTATATTTGTGTGAGCTTTAGGTTATCATATTTGATTCTGTCTCATTTCACAGCAAAGCAATGTCATATATAATGATATTATTGACCTCAGAAAAACAACTACCTGTTATAACAGGATATCTTAATCCTGCTAAATTAGTGGTTTGTCACTAATTTGCTCCAGCACTAATTTTATCAAGGTGCAAACACCATGCATAGCAATCCACCTGCATTTACTGGTATTAAAATCTAGGCCTTTTCTTCAACAACACTGCCACCTTCTGCTTAGTATAGACTTTCACTTTATTTCTATGCCTTCAAGAGTTGTGAGATTCACTTTGAAATAATATATACTTAAAAGTTAGAAGGGACCATGAGAATGTCTAATCAGGTCCCCACATTCTATAGATGAGGAAACTGAGGCCCAAAGGGATTAAGTCACTTACCCAATGTCCTACATTCATTTTCTCCAGATTAAATCTCACAGTTATTAATTCTCCCTAGTTCTCTTCCCACTGACATATTTATTATTAAACTGTATAGAGAAGTTACATCAAGACATTGATTATAATAATCTAGAAGCATGGAATCTTAGACTATGTTTTATACTTTTTGTTTATTTGCATTATATAAATTTTTTATCATAAGCAAAAAATATATTTTTTCAATTTTAAAAGATTTGTATTTGTTCAATGTGTAGCCTTAAATAGAAAAATTATTCTAGATCAGAAAAGCAGACAACTAAAATTTTTTCTTTTAATCTCCTCCATTTTCTTCTGAATTATGAAAATGTCTATCAAATCAGGCACAATACCAATGCTAATGGGTAGGTTTTAGAAAAATAAGATGCAAGAATGTAGCATGCAAACTTAGAAGTAGCCAACAAGAATTGTGTTGTAAAGCTTTATATGTTTAGCAAATCCTATAGATATATTTTAAAGTAGGCGATTTTAAACAATAAACTCGCGTTTAGCAGGGTTTTTTGAAAAGGTTTTCTGCCAACTTAAATGCCTCATTTGTTTAGGTTGGGTGTAGATTCTATCAGCATTTCTAGTATAAACCATGCTTAGTGGAGAGTTACTATCTTTCTAACATAATACATATTTGTCAATATTTTGTTACAGATTTTTTTGTCTATGTCACAAGGGATATTGATCTGTAGTTTTATTTTACTGTGATAACTCGTTTTAATATTAGAGTAATGTTGGCCTCATAAAATTAGTTTGGCCTCACATTTTCTGGAAGAGGTTTTTATAAAGCCAGAAATATTTCTTTCTTATATGTTTTATAGAATTCACTAGTAAAACTATGGTTTCCTTTGAGGTAAGGTTTCTATTTATGAATTCAAGTTATTTAGTAGAGATAGATCTATTCTCATTTTTTATTTATATTTTAGTTCATTTTGTTAATTGGTATTTTTCAAGGATTTGTCCATTTAATCCAAGTTGTCACATTTATTGGCACAAAGATGTTCATAAATATTTTCTGTTGTCTTCTCAAATTCTGTAGGATCTGTAGTGATATCCCCTCTTTCAATCATTGGTGATTTGTCTCTCTTTTTCTTGATTAGTCTGATGAGAGGTTTATCAACATTTTTTGTACTTTCCAAGAAGTAGCTTTTGGTTGTATTGATTTTATCTAATGTTTCTCTAATTTTTATGTTGTTAATTTCTGCTCTTTATTGTTTCTTTCCTCCTACTTACTTTGGGTTCTTTTTCTAGTTTCTTATGATGAAAGCCAAGATCATTATATTTAAATCGCTTTTCTAACATAAGCATTTAAAGATATGAATGGATTTCTATACCCTGCTTTAGCTGCATTTCACAAATTTTTATATATTTTATTTTCATTAATATTCAGTTCTATTTTCTAATTTCTCTTGTCATTTCTTCTTTGACCCATCAGTTTTTTTACAGTGTGTTGTTAAATTTCCAAACATTTCAGAATTCTCTAGATTATTATGTTATTGATAACTTATTTAATTCAGTTGTGGTCACAGAACAAATTCTGCATAATTTCAATCCTTTAAACCTAGTTGAAAATTGTTTTATAGTTCAGCATATGGTCTATCTTAGAGAATGTTCCAAGTACACTTGAAAAGAATTCACATTCTCCCATTGTTTAAATGAGTATTCTATTAATGACACATAGATCAAGTTGGTTTAAATAGTTTTTTATGTCTACCAACTCAATATTCAAAGTATACATTTACTTTGTAGTTTAAAGTTTATTTCAATAATTTTTAGATCACTGTACTCACCCTGGAGTGATATCAAACCAGAGTTTAATATCATTGCCTAAGCAATTAATCAGTTTGAAAGCTAGAGACCACATGATTTCCTAAGTTATTCTAAAATTTTATAATTAGGCACAAATTTGAAATGTAAATTAGAACTCTTCATTGAAGGGTCAATGGAATTTTGTTCTAAAATATAAGATTAGTGAAATAAAAGGTAAAATTAAGAGTTATTCATACTTTTACAAAGTAGAATAAAATTTAACTTGTAAAATTGTCAATGCATTTAGCCTTCTAGGTTTAATTCTAATTAACCTACATTATATGAAAAAAAATTAAAGTTCTTTGTCCTAAAGCTGGTGGGTTATTATGATGCTTTGCTTCCATTTTCTTAAAACTGGTTGGTCTGTAACTTCTTGATTTATGCTGTGGTTCTTGCATACTGTACTTCATAAAATATAGAATATAAATAAAGGTTAGAAATTAGAGATTTCTATTATTTCTGTTAATTAACCTTAATTTAACAGAACCTTCTGTTCAATTTAACCTTTGGGGGCTGCATGCATATGTACATATGTGTGTAATACTTGAGAAAGACTTCAAGATTTTCCCTGGGAATATATGCAGAGTTCTGAGATAGTACAGATACTGATCTGGGTATCCCACTGGAAGAATAGCTTACCTTCATTTGTCAGTCGTAGGATAATATGCTATACTCCACCACCCAACCCATTCTACTAATCAGCAATTGTGGCAAGAGCACCTAGAAATATATGCAAATATTCATATTCCTTTTCTTGTATTCAAAGCCAAGACCTCTGGGAGTTCTTTAACAGTTCAGAAGTTTAAGCTGCTTTTCTATCTCTTCCTCTCTCACCAGTCCACAATGACTGCACCTGCTGGAATACTGAAAACTGTCATAAAATATCTAAGGAAATTATCATTATTTGAGAAATATTGAAGAGGGAAAGAATATCAGAGAAGGGCCAAAGTAAAGCAACAACTTGTTGTTAAAAGACATGAGCTTTATATAAGGTGATGTAAAGGACTCTAGCGACTCAGTAGGGGGAGGGTAAGAGGAGGGCTAAGGATAAAAAACTATATATTAGATACAATATATACTACTCAGGTGATAAGTGCATGAAAATCTCAGAATTCACCACTATATAATTCATCCACGTAACAAAAAAACAGTTCTACCCCAAAAGCTACTGAAATAAATTTTTAAAAAAAGGATACGAGCTTTGAACATGAAGAAAGAATCATGCCTGGTTTTTCATTTAGGAATTGTGTGACACTGGGCAGTTTTAGGCCAACTTCCTCATCTATAAAATGAGCATTATAAATGTTTTATAGACACATATAATACGTTGCATAGTACACAGAAGGTGATTACTAGGAATTTCCCTCTAACCACCCTCCAGCACACCTGTCCAATTCCTCTACTGGATATAACTTGATGTTTTAAGGACACAGTTTCATCTTACAGATTACGGTTGTGAAAGTAAATATCAGGAAGAATAGGTGTATTTCCCACACAAATTTAAGCAATGCGTTGTGACCATCCCATAGACCATAAAGGCACTCGTTTTTGTTTTTTTTTTTTTAATTATCTGAATTCTACAATACATGGTCCTAAATCCTTTATTCTCCATTCCTTTTTCAGCAGCCAATCAGATTGTTTACTGTATAAGTTATACTTACTGTGTTATCACAGGTGACAGTAGTCAGTAAATATTAACTAAGGTTCAAGAAGTGTGCTTTACAGTAGTAAGAATTGAAAAGTATTTATTCTTAGAATTTTAATCACATTATAATTAAATAATATGTATACTAATGAGTCATTAGTGAATTGAGAGGTAAAAATTTTCAGATATTCTTCTTTTGAAATTACCTCTACTTGTATAATTTTGTTTCTAAGGGAAAGTTCATCATTGCTTAACAGATCGAACATTTGGTTGAGAAGCTTTTAACTCCTAACATATAATGAGGACAGATTTCGTTAATCATGGTGGCTACCATGCCAGCAGCCCCTGCAAATGGAAACTGCCCCATGCCCACAGCTTCTGCATAGTTTGAAAGTCCGGGCAACATCTTCTGATTGGACTAAGATGATTATTGACCCATAAGAAGTCAATCCACAGTCTAGTCAGTAATCTATAATATTATTTGACCTGAAAAATATCAACCTCTGTCTTAGGAAATTTAAAATTGTTAAAAATATATATTATATCTATTAAAGAAAGCCAGTGAAGGCTCATGGAAAAATATAGGATGAAGGAAACTGTGAGAGCTGAATTTATGAGCAAACCAAAATTATGAGTAAGCAGAAGGCATAAGGTAGAGAAAAGATATATAAAGAATGGAGGGTGATGAATAAAGTCAGTAGAGTGAGGAGAATGAAACAGACACATGAAAGGTAACTGAATCACAATAATGGCAGAGCCCTTGACTCAAAATCAATAGACTCCTGCTGTCCAAATCCCTAGATCTGCCTTGAATTCTGAGCTGACGTCTAGTTCTGGTTTCTTCTTGATTCTCATATGTTGTGTCCTCCCCTCACCCCAAATTGCTTGAAACAAATTGATTTTCAAATCTTTCCAATCAAATCAGTGTAGTGAGAATAAAGAGATTAAACTGTCTACTGCTTCCGTGGTATTCTTATTGCTTGAATAAGCATCTGATGGTAATGTATTTGTTATTGATCCTTCCCTCATAAAAGATTAGTACAGAAATAATAATAAAGTTTATTTAATTATCAGTTTTTCAGATTTCATTTTAAGTAGCATTTAGGCACTCTGTGATGCAACTGTTGGGTGAAGGCAGATTGAATCCAGAAATAAAGAAATACAGAATCTAGATTGAGAATAATCAAGGCTAAACTCTCCATGTACAACAAAGCCAGCTCCACAAAAGAAAGAATATTAGGTACTATTATTATAACCATATTAAAAGATTCACAAGCCAATGGTCTTAGATCTACAGGAAAAAAATAAGTCAAATTTTTAGTGTTTCATATGTAGTTGTATGTTAAGTACACAATCCCTAACTCCAATACACAAAATAGAAATGGAGAAATCTGATGAAATCACATATAGGCAAAATATTCAGATTACCAAATTTGAGAGATGAATAAGATAAACTGAATGAAATGCTAGGAGAGGCTGGGCACGGTGGCTCACGCCGGTAATCCTAGCACTTTGGGAGGCTGAGGCAGGTGAATTGCCTGAGCTCGGGAATTTGAGACCAGCCTGGGCAACATGGCAAAACCCATCCCTAAATAAATAAATAAATAATGCTGGGAGAGGAAGGGGAGAGAGAGAGAGAGATCAGTGGAGAGAGGATATTCTAGAGGTTAAAATTATGCTCCAAAACCTATATACAAATACACTTTAGACTTCACAAGGAAAATTAGGGCAGGCTGGAGAAGCATTAGTCAGGCCTGGAAAAAAAGTAAAAACAGGCTGAAGAATGGTAGGATGATGGAGTGTAGTGGCTCATGCTTGTAATCCCAGCACTTTGGCAGGCCTAGGTGGGAGGATCGCTTGATCCGAGGAGTTCAAGACCAGCCTGGGCAACATGGTGATACCCCCATCTCTACCAAAAAAAAAAAAAAAAAAAAAATTAGCTGGGCATGGTGGAGTGCAACTGTGGCCCCAGCTACTCAAGAGGCTAAGACAGGAGGATCACTTGAGCCCAGGAGTTCAAGGCTGCAGTGAGCCATGATTGCACCACATGCCTAGGTGACAGAGTGAGACCCTGTCACAAAAACAAAATTTAATAAAGAATGGGGAAGACAAATGCTCCATTCATCTTTCACCATCTCAGATTTCTTTATCAATAAGGCGTTATAATTTGTATTCTTGGCTGGGCGCGGTGGCTCACACCTGTAATCCCAGCACTTTTGGAGGCTGAGGCGGGTCAATCATGGGGTCAGGAGTTCAAGACCAGCCTGGCCAAAATGGTGAAATCCCGTCTCTACTAAAAATACAAAAATTAGCCAGCCATGGTGGCAGGCGCCTGTAATCCCAGCTACTCGGGAGGCTGAAGCAGAGAATTGCTTGAACCCAGGAGGCGGAGGTTGCAGTGAGCCAAGATCACACCACTGCACTCTAGCCCGGGTGACAGAGCAAGACTCTATCTCAAAACAAACAAACAAACAAAAACTTGTATTCTTTAGTTCAATGTTGTAATGCATTTAGCTATGAAAAGAAATTAAGAAGGCATTTACAGTCAATATTGAAAATAAAAATATGTTGCTCATGGAACCCCAATTACATTTTTGTTAAATTATGTTAATGCACTTATGTGTTTGTTTATGGGATGCCTGAGAACCTTGATCCATATTATACGCCCTTCTAATTTTCATCATGTGGCTTTGGTTTTTTCAGACTATCTTATTTCCCCAAGATATGTCATGTTTTGTGCTCTGTGTAAATAATAATTAAAATCAAGTCAAGATTATATGTAGCTAGTTGTGCCTGACTCACTCAAGGGATATGCCCCTGAAAGATATTACCCATCCCACCTCCATAGCCATCACTACCACCAGATATCAGAATGTAGTACTCATATAAGACCTTACTGATGGAAGTTAGGCCTGGTGATATAGTATCGACATTGGGGCGGAATAGGATGTAAATAAATATAACCACCACTCTATGACTATTATGGGGAAATACATTCCATATCCTAGTGAATGAGCTAACAATTTAACCTTTGGGGGCTGCATGCATATGTACATACGTGTGTAATACTTGAGAAAGACTTCAAGATTTTCCATGGGAATATATGCAGAACTCTTTAAAAATCCAAGGGAAAAAATAACTATTTTAGTGTTGCTTCACTCAAGAAAAACATTGCATTAACACATTTGTTTTGAGACGTCAAAACTTTCACCAAGGGTAGAGAGGCATTGTTTTTACACATTGCCTGAAGGTGAGTTCAAAAAGAAAGGTGCCAAATGTTCGTGTCATATTAAATGTTAAAAGTTTTGTAATCTGTTATAAAGTTTAAATGACAGGGTAAATAAATTTTTTAATGGCCATAGAGAGAAAAACTGAATTCACTTTTTTGGGAGCCTATTAAATTAAAGTGATTTTTAGCACACTTGGCATTCTCCTTGCTTCAAAGAGAAATAATAATTCAGAGACCAGCCCTTTTTTTATTCCTCTGAGAGGCATAAAAAACAATGACTGAAATGACTTTGAGAGGAGAAAAAGAACTGACAGCCAGCAGGGAGAGTGGATACTGCTGTGATAAAAGGACTTAGAAGTAAAAAATATATTCAGGGTAAAGGAAGTAAAAGTGTAGTGGAAATGGAGAAACAAGCACAGAAGAATGGATGGGTCAGGGAAAATCATAAATACTATAAAAGTTTTGCATTCAAAACATAAAATATAGGACACAATATTGACCAGAAAAAAAACTCTGAGAAAAAAAACACATTACTTCTAATGCCTGTAAAATATATTCATGCTATGAAATTCCTTTTTTAGTGTACTCGTTATTTCCAAAGCTGGCATCATGACTAAATAGATTGTCACATTTACTATATTTATCACTTATCCTTAGTTACTAAAAACTCCAAATTAAATTTCAATAAGGAAAAATAAAGAAATGAGAAACAAAGTCTCTACCTCTTTAAGAAACATACTTGCTTCCTTTTTCCATTGCATTGCAAGAATTTTTGCATGAAGTAATCATCAAACCTGTGAATTTCCTTTTTAAACTTCTTTCTTTAATTTTACAACCAATGCTCAACTAAAATTTTAGAGGTTAAGTAGCTGCCCTACCCAAAATATATTTGTCTTTTTTATGAAGTATCAAACCAAAAACAGCAAATATCAAACAGAAGTTTTGTAAAATACAATCTTAACAAGTCCCATTTATGTACTAACATGAATCCCAAAACTCTGCCCAGTAATGCAGTTAATCTTTTACTAATTGTAAAGTAAGTATATCCTCATTAGAATGACTTCTTTCTTTCCTCAGAACCTTGCAAGGCAAGTACCTGTTCACAGCATTAAATGCCATCATATGTACAATCCAGAGAAGCACCATTCACTTTGGGGCTCATATACATGGTGCCCCCTGGAATTGTGCAGTATACAGGCTATGTGACAGTACATGAAAGCCATAGCAGTATTTATATTTGCCATAGTCAATTTTCCTGCTGTCCTATATCATTAACCTCAATTTCAAAAAGTAACAGCAACAAATTTGTTATTATTTATTATCAAAACTGAATCTATCTTTATCATTCATTTCCTAGTTAGGTGTTGTGAAAAGAACACCAGCCTTCCTTCAGACACATTTAGTTTAAATCTCAAATCTGCCACTCACTATCCATGATATTTTCTACAAATTATCCATCCTCTTGGCCTCAACTTCCTCATGCCTAATAGGATTAGCTATGTCTCAAATAATTGTCATAGGCATTAAATGTTAATAATGTAGGTAAACTTCCTGACCCTGAATAGGTACTCAACAAATATTAATTGTTATTATTATCATAGCACCAACATACTCAATCTTACAAACTTGGATTATTAAAAATTCCAAAGGTTAAGGGGCTCTGGATTTACATAGGAGCTCAGAACTGAAAACTGTGCCCCTGATTAGATAATTGTCATAAACAATATGCATGGCATTCTGTATTTTAATATATGTATAAATAAGAGTTGTGTCATATGGAGATTTGAATATTTTCATATACACATCCACATATAATTCTCCATAACATACATGTATTTAAATAAAGGAATATTAATATATATGATAACAGTTAAGAAAAGGTTATTTTCATTTGTGAAAAATACAACTCTAGGCTCAGATGCCTTTACAAGGGAAAAGTAAGTTCTCTACCAAACATTCAGAGAACAGATAATTCTAGTCTTATATATATTGATTTAATTTAAAGGAGGGTGATACTGATGCCCAACTCATTTTGTATCAAGAAATAACCTTGACACAAAAATCAAGATATTTTAAAATGTAAAATTATAGATTCATCTTACGTATGATCATGAACACAAAATCCTAAACAAAATATTATCAATCCAAATCCAGCAGTATATTTTTAAAAAATAAAATATTTTATTTATCACAATAATACAAAGATGAATTAATGCAATAAAAATCTGTTTATGTAATTGATCATACAAATGGATTATAAGAAAAAAAATTACATAATCTCCTCAACAGGTAGAGTGAAAAAAAGGCATTTGATAACATTTAACCTACTCATGACTTTTTTTACATTAGCAAAATAGTACTAGAAAAAAAACTTCATTAATTTAAAAAGAATATATAATAAAAACTCAGAATGAGTATTATACTTAATGGAATATTATACTAAAGAAAAATCAGGATGTTTCGAAGCATTCCCTTTAAAGTCAAACATAAGACAAGGATATTCTATTATTGGTTCTATTCAACCTTGTCCTGGAATTCCTAATCAATCAGTAAAATAAAATTTAAAAAAGAGTTAAGGATTGGAAAGGAGTGGGCATAAGTATCACTGTTTTGTATATAACATGATTTTCAACCTAGAACACTTAAAAAAAATCTGCAGATAAATTACAAGAGAGTTTAGCTGAATGGTGTCTACCGCCATACCACCCTGAATGCACCCAATCCCATCTGATCTCAGTAGCTAAGCAGAGCTGGGCCTGGTTAGTACTTGGATGGGAGAGTTTAGCTGAATTGCAAGGTGAGAAAAAAGCAATACATTAAATCTGTAATGCTTCCATATACGTGTAACAATTAGAAAATGTATTTTTTAAAAGACTCCATTTTTAAAAAGACTCCATAACAACAACAAAAACTATAAAATACATACAAATAAAATTTAAAATGTTGGGTAGCACCTATATGGAAAAAATTTACCAAACATCATCTCAAGGTAGAAAAAAATAACCAAATGAAAGAAGAAATATATGATGTTCATGGGTGGAAAGAGTTGAACCATAAAGTTTTTCATTTTGCTCAAATTTATATATAAATCAATGTAATTCCAATTTAAAACTCCATAGATTTCTATGAAACTTGAAAAGCTGATGCTAAAATTTATTTAGAAAAGTAATGGAACAATAAAAGCTGAGATAGTTTTGGAGACAACAAACAAGCTGGGGTAACTTGACAAAGCAGTGAGGAATCAACACTTACTACAAAACTCTAGTAATTAAGACAATGGAGTCTTGACTAATTACACAAATGAGATGAATAAAATGCTCAAAAAAGAAAGAAGGTGTTAATAAATGGTTGTGGTACAGATAATTGAGCAAATATATTAATATTTATGTTAAAACATATTTATTTAATAAATTGGGCTGCCATACACAAAAGTTGTTTGTGATTTAAAAGAACAGAAAATGAAAAACAAAAGTTTACAACATTTATAAGAAAGGGAGACTATGTTTGCAGGATGAAAAAATATTTCTGAAACAAGGCATCAAAAGACAAGCAATAAAGAAAATACTTATACTACTGACTATACTTTTAAAATAAAACTTTAGTAGCACAAAAGACACATAAATAAGAAAATAAAATATGCTATATGCCAGGAGAAGGTATAACAAATATAACCATCAAGGGATGGGATCCAGAATTTAGCAAGAACTCTGAAAAATAAGAAAACAAAAGCTCAGTATAAAATAGGCCAAAGATAGAAATAGGAAGGTCAAAGAGAAAGAAACACGAATTGCTAATGAACAAATATAAAGATGTTATCCTACTCAGTAATCTAGAAAATGCAAATTAAGACTATGATATGATACCATTTCACACCCATGAAGTTAGCAATAAATTTAAAGTCTGTCAGTACCAAATGTTGGCAAGAATATGAAGCAATGAACTCTCCTAAACTACTGATGGAGTTACAAATTGGTACAATGTTGGAAAAAAATTTGGCAATATCTAATAAAATTGAAAATAGCCATACTTTTTGTCTCAGCAATTCTACTCCTAGAGAAACCGTAACAAGGTCTCCAAAGAGACCTATACACAATATTCTTTGCACTGCTATTTGTGATAGTGAAATGTTGAAAATAACCTATATGTCTACCAACAGAAAAATGGATTAAAAATTATGTGGTTAAACTATGGGATATTATCTTGTCATGTGATTCTTTACACTTTTCTGTATATTTGAAATAGCTCCCTTTTTTTAAAATGGTCAGGGAGGGTCAGAGTAGATGATATTTGAAAAATGAAATTCTTCCAAATATTTCAAATCTATTAGCTATGCTTGAAAAATGAGCAAAGAAATCTTTACACGATAAATTCACAAACACCTTGAATACATCAAAATGAATGATCTGTAAGGAACAGGTCTCATTAGACTAACCTAATTTTGTAACATGACAGAGTAATAGGCCTGGCAGATCAAGGGGCAGAGATAAATGCTATGTCCCAACTTTAGCAAGAATTCTTATCCTGTGCCATATGGTATTCTCATCAAAGAAACGGGAAAGGTAAAGAAATGTAAAAAAGAAAACAGGGATAGCATAGTCTAGACCTGGACTCCAGCCAACAGAATAAAATTACCCAGCACACTAGAAGATGGATAACTCTTCCTTCGGGGCTTATCAACCTCTGAGAACTAAACCAAAGTCTCTTGGCCTGGTGATAAAATGAAAACCCATAGGCCTTAAATGTGCAATTGACATCTAAGAGGCAGTGAGAAGAGCTCCATAATATGAAGATGTATTTTATTAAAATCGAGGAAGTGGTCAAAACCGAGCTAATATTTAAAGAGAGGATGACAAAAGAGTAGCACAAATAAGGAAGGGAAATTAATATTTTAAAAATAAAAGTGCCAGCTAGGAAGCACAATTCATATTCCTCTACATGAGAAACAACTTTATCCGGGAAAGTGGTGATTTTCTATTAAGCAGTCATTTGATGAGAGACACACAGGATAGCAAGAGAGGGATCAGGCTTCTCTGCAGCTGCATCTCCACGCTGTCCCAGGAAGCAAACCTGCCTGAGAGACCATTCATGTGAGCGACCAGCCAGACAGTTTCATGTACTGGGGCTGCCCAGTTGAGAGTAGAAATCACTTTAGAGGTCAGATGGGACATCAAGTTGAATTTTAAACATGAACGTGTCACTGTGATCTGGAAATCTATTAAAATAATGTAACATAAAAGTAGGAATGCTGCACTGACAAACCAGAATCCCCGTTTTCTCCATTTTGGCTCCACTGCGTGTCCACTTCCATTTCCACCACTTAAAGATGGAATAGGATATAGGAAGGTGGGTGGGGAGATTCTTCAAAATCAGCCAGTTGTTATAAAATTATGCCTGTGGAAAACAAATGATTTTAAAATCCAGATTGTGAGAGAATTTTAGTAAGCTATTTCACATATACAAAAGGCCTTACCGAGAATTCTGTGGCCAGCTGTTCTTAATTAGAGAGATAAGAAAATAAGGATTTAGATGTGCGAGATGGGATACTTAGATGAAAAATTTTACACGATTTTCCTGACAGAGAGCAGCTGATAAACCTTAGGAAGACTTTACATGAGAAATTGTAGAATCACAACTTTAAAGAAGGCATTCTTTAAATAAAATCTTTTCTGCTCTGGATAATTCTCTCAAAATTTCTCTCAGCCCTCAAATAAAAACTGTCCCAGAAATATTCTCCCCACCTAAAAAAAATTACCAAACAATTTTGAGGAAATATATTAAGAGAAGAAAGTCATTACATATTATACATTAAGCACATGGCAAAGTAAACTTTGCACTGTGCAATGAAGGTATTTTACCTTATACTATACACCCACATTCAAAACGTTGTTTTGCTTTTAAAAAGCATTGGTTAATGCTTCACAGAAAAATATATAATTTCAGAAACCATCTGCCTATGAGTCATATTTCCTCATTGCTTCCTCGTGTTTTCTTAACTAATTTGTTAATATTTGCATAAAAACAGGACCTTACTTTCATGAAAACACAGATATTCAATCAATGTTTATAATATTACACATTTGTTGAAATTACACTGAACAAAAAGCACATATATAATTCTTAGGTGCTTGCATGCTGAATGTGTGAGCACTCCTAGAATAAGTATTATGTGTGTATCTGACATGGTAATTGCTGGTGTTTTTCTATTCTCCAGGATCTGTTTTCTTATTTAAGGAGTGAGCCCAACTCTTCCACTTATAGGGTGGAGTGGCAAAGAGGAGAGAAGAGGTGAGAGGTTATCAGGGTGTGGGGTGTGGTGGTGCCTCCCTCTGTGTCACTCCTACACTTGCTTTCTTTTTTTATTATTATTATACTTTAAGTTCTAGGGTACATGTGCACAATGTGCAGGTTTGTTACATATGTATACATGTGTCATGTTGGTGTGCTGCATCCCTTAATTCATCACTTACATTAGGTCTATCTCCTAATGCTATCCCTCCCCCGTCCCCCCAACCCCACGACAGGCCCCGGTGTGTGATGTTCCCCACCCTATGTCCAAGTGTTCTCATTGTTCAATTCCCACCTATGAGTGAGAACATGCGGTGTCCTTGCTTTCTTAAAGGAATGAGGGCAGGTCACCGATGCACATGCACACATGAATTGCTAAAATGGGGAGTTTTTCCTAGCTGAGATTCAACAACAGCTCTCTCTGGCCAGGAAGTGCCACTTACAAGTGCAATCATTTGGGCCCTTAGCATCAGCAACTACAACCCTCAGACTGAACAAACTATTGATGCAAATGTGCACACAGAACCATTTCCAAAGATTCTTTGAAGTTACACATGATTGTGAGGAACATTTTAAGTTTGGAGGGATTTCATCCATTTCAGACCAAACCAAACATCACACCAAGTTAGAATCCTAAGGCATCAAAACAATAGAACACTTGAAAATTTTTCTAAATGACAACTCCAGAGATTAATACATGTGTTTTAGACACACTTAAATGTGCCTCAAATTAGTCTTTATAAAAGGTGTATTATCACATCATCGTTTATATGTAAGTGTAGGTGTCGGCACTATACGTGTACAGCCACTTGGTTTCAGGGGGCACCTACCTCAAATAGACCACCCCACTTTTTATTTTTTCTGGCTCCTGTTTCTTCATAGGAAGTGCACAGAGATGCATGTCTACACACACTTTTACAGGTACTTATACATTCACCTATTTAACACCGTGCATGTTCCTACACGTTAGGTGGATACTCTGTACATGTAGTATATTTACAGATGATTTACTGAGTCATAAAATCCCCCTTACCCTTTCTCAGCATAATAAGCATGAAGCAGTTAAAGAAAAAAAAAAGGAACAAAACACACACAGGGACTTGGCAGAAAGCTAAAAATAACAACGACATTTTTGAAGAGAAAATTGTAGAAGCAGGCTTTAAGGGGGATAAAGTTTTTCCAACACCATGGGAAAGTCACATTTCTTCCTTAGGCTTCCAAACCTTATTTAAGCTGTTAGGCAAACATGAAGAACTGTACCTCAGCTTCTAGCAGCTGCACATGGAGTGAAACCTGTATAGACTACCTACCTGTAAGTTTAGTCTGGGAAAAATAGATATTTTTAATTAAACTTTAATACTTTCAGATATCTATAATAATCCAAGAAGGCCAAGAAATGGTTAATGTGGTGAACCTGGATTTAATGAATAGATAAGCAGAATTTCTTAACAAGCCCACAAATATTCTTGCCAAATTTAAATGTATATCAAATTCAAATTAGATTTTTTAAAAGGTATAACCTGCCATGTATATTTTAAGCTAATCACAGAAAATCTATAGCATAAAAATGCTTTTAATTCCACATTCTAATGTGTTCAGACATTTAGAGTCACAATATTTCAAAATTATACCAATAAGATATCAGCTATTTCTTATTTGGAAGAGGTGTAAAGAACACTTCCCCACCCCAGCCCATTGACCGCTACTGCCGTGTGTAAATTTGCTAGAAAACGTTACAGCAGTGGCAAGAGGGATGTCAGGATCACCCCTCCCTTCCTAGGAGATGATGCTATTGATTAGTTGCAGGAAAGAGGGGCAACATAGTGATCGCTATAGCCAAGGAATCATTTAGCCTTAATAGAGTTTTGTGAAGCCAAAATGGTCACTTGTGTGTTTTTTAATTCATATTAAATTCCTGTTTAATGGTTCACACAATGTTTTACTTCTCTAGAACCTCTTTTATGAAATTTTCATGGAGAAGTAACTCACTAACACTAGGTTGCTTTTGTCATATCCAGTCAAGAGTATGGCTCCAAATACAGCAATTGGCCTTCATTGAATACCGTACAGACAGTGTTATATTTCACACATACCCATGCTGTCCTGAGTTTTTTCCTTCTTTTTTTTTTTTGGTTTACATTTTTTTCTTTTTATTGTGGTAAAATATATATAACATAAAGTTTGTCATCTTAGTCATTTTTAATGTACATTTCAACAACATTAATTACATCCACAATGTTGTATGACCATTATCATATCTATTTCTGAAATACTTTATCATGCTCATCAGAAATTCTATACCCACTAAGTGACAACTTCCCATTCCTCCTTCTCCTCAACCCCCAATAGCCACTAATCTACTTCTATCTGTATGAGTCTTCCCTACTGTAAGTATTTCATGTAAGTGGAATCATGCAATATGTGTCCTTTTGTATCTGGCTTATGCTACTTCAATTAGCATGTTTTCAAGGTTCATCCATGTTACTGCATATACTGGAACTTCATTTTTACAGTCAAATAAGATTCCATTGTATGTGCATATCACATTTTATTTATCCATTCATCTGTTGATAGACACTTGGATTGTTTTCAAGTTTTGGCTGTTGTAAATAATGCTGCAACAAACACTGATGTACAGGTATCTGTTTGAATCTCTGTTTTTGATTCCTTTAAGTTTATAACTTAAGAGTGAAACTGCTGGGGCATATGATCATTCTAGGTTTAACCTTTTGGAGGATCCACCAAACGGTTTTCCACAGCAGCTGCACCATTTTACATTCCCACCAGCAGTTTTCTCCTTCTCAAGCAACTTTATTTTAAGCCTTAGAATAGCCAAGAAAAAAAAGGACGGAATAAAGAATTGGCCTGTATCTCAAAGAGCCAGCCTGTGTAATCTTTAATCTTGTCACACTATACTCCTTTTATAAATGGCCTGCAAAATAGTCCCCATTTTAACACTTGGTTTTGTTTGTGTTTTTCTATTAAATAATCACATGCAATTAAGTAAATATTTCTTCTTTTAGTTCAGTAGCCCATATTATTTCCATTCTCCATGACAGCACTGTGGGAAAGCACTATTTTGGTTGAATGGAAGGAAACATGTCCAAGGCCTATTATTAGTTACCCTACGCATATTCTGGGAATTGTCCTCCGCTCCCCTAAATACCCAGATCCTTCCACACCACCAGATTGTGGTTACACTTTCCAGTCCTTTTCCTCCTTTAAAAAATTTTCCCATGTCATTTCCCAGAGCAATTGCAGGCTGCTCTTCCTGCTGCTGGCAGACTGATTGTCTCATTTAGTGGTGTAATTTTGTGTTGCCTACAGAAAGAATTTCTTCTGCATTAATCTTTTGTCTTAAAATTTCAGGAATAACCTCACTAAGTATACAATTTAGTGGTTGCTAGGAATGTGAACTGCACTTGATTGCAACAAAAGAGACCACGGATGACATTCTTGAAAACTGCACTTTATACATTTTTTTGGTCCATATAGTGCCATCAACTGATGCATTACAAAGTCCTTAGAGAGCAAGAACCCCACTAGAGGGCGCATTCTCAATGTGCGACCAAAAGCAGACCCTCCTTTCTCATATTGCTAACCTACTTAGGAGGCAGATAGAAATCAAAAATAAAATGTTATTATTGAGTGGCTAGCAGGGGCCAGGATTAGGATGAGGCACGTGAGATAGTCCCTCTGGGTGCAAAACTGAATGAGTGCCAAAAATCTTGGTAATCCAGATAAGTAATAAGTTAATGTAATATTTTGAGAAATAAAAATTAACGCAAAAACATCCATGATGAACAACATACCAAAATTTTAAATAAAGATAAGTATTACTGCCTTTTTCTTTTTCCTCTGGCTCTTATATGGCTCAGCACAGCACTAGTGGCTAGAAAGGTTTTCTTTTTGACAAAAGAAAAAAAGAATCACTGTAACATTTCTATGGTTCCATTACTCTACTTCCTCAAATTTCTCTCCCATGGAAATCATTCACACAGAGTCCTGGGCAAAACTGTGTACCAAGTAAAGTTTATCCTGAGGGGGTTCTATCTCTTTTTCCCTGCCCTCATCCCCAAACACCCAGTGTTCTCATGCCGTCCTGACTTCTCAGGGCGTCCCACTTGGGCATCTTAGCTAGACCTGCTGTCTCTAAAAATAGTCCAAACTCTGCACCTCTTCTAGCCCTTGTGTAGCACCCCCCAAAAAAAGAATAGGTCCCAAGGGGAAAAGTAGTTTGATATCAAAAAAGCCTAAGACCATTGAGATAGAGAAAAATTAGTCTTACATAGAGTCGTACAATTCTAGAATAAGATGAGAGCTCTACCAAACCAATTCTGTTTATTTTACTAATAAGGTTAACAGGCTTGGGGGAGGAGCCAATATGGCCGAATAGGAACAGCTCTGGTCTACAGCTTCCAGCGTGAGCGACGCAGAAGATGGGTGATTTCTGCATTTCCATCTGAGGTACCGGGTTCATCTCACTAGGGAGTGCCAGACAGTGGGCGCAGGTCAGTGGGTGCGGGCACCATGCACAAGCCGAAGCAGGGTGAGGCATTGCCTCACTCGGGAAGCGCAAGGGGTCAGGGAGTTCCCGTTCCTAGTCAAAGAAAGGGGTGATGGACGGCACCTGGAAAATCAGGCCACTCCCACCCGAATACTGCGCTTTTCCAACGGGCTTAAAAAACGGCGCACCACGAGATTATATCACGCACCTGGCTCGGAGGGTCCTACACCCACGGAGTCTCGCTGATTGCTAGCACAGCAGTCTGAGATCAAACTGCAAGGCAGCAGCCGAGGCTGGGGGAGGGGCGCCTGCCATTGCCCAGGCTTGCTTAGGTAAACAAAGCAGCCGGGAAGCTCCAACTGGGTGGAGCCCACCACAGCTCAAGGAGGCCTGCCTGCCTCTGTAGGCTCCACCTCTGGGGGCAGGGCACAGACAAACAAAAAGACAGCAGTAACCTCTGCAGACTTAAATGTCCCTGTCTGACAGCTTTGAAGAGAGCAGTGGTTCTCCCAGTACGCAGCTGGAGATCTGAGAAGGGGCAGACTGCCTCCTTAAGTGGGTGCCTGACTCCTGACCCACGAGCAGCCTAACTAGGAGGCACCCCCCAACAGGGGCACACTGACATCTCACACGGCAGGGTACTCCAACAGACCTGCAGCTGAGGTTCCTGTCTGTTAGAAGGAAAACTAACAAACAGAAAGGACATCCACACCAAAAACCCATCTGTACATCACCATCATCAAAGACCAAAAGTAGATAAAACCACAAAGATGGGGAAAAAACAGAACAGAAAAACTGGAAACTCTAAAAAGCAGAGTGCCTCTCCTCCTCCAAAGGAACGCAGTTCCTCACCAGCAAAGGAACAAAGCTGGACAGAGAATGACTTTGACGAGCTGAGAGAAGAAGGCTTCAGACGATCAAATTACTCTGAGCTACGGGAGGACATTCAAACCAAAGGCAAAGAAGTTGAAAACTTTGAAAAAAATTTAGAAGAATGTATAACTAGAATAACCAATACAGAGAAGTGCTTAAAGGAGCTGATGGAGCTGAAAACCAAGGCTTGAGAACTACGTGAAGAATGCAGGAGCCTCAGGAGCCAATGCGATCAACTGGAAGAAAGGGTATCAGCAATGGAAGATGAAATGAATGAAATGAAGTGAGAAGGGAAGTTTAGAGAAAAAAGAATAAAAAGAAATGAGCAAAGCCTCCAAGAAATATGGGACTATGTGAAAAGACCAAATCTATGTCTGATTGGTGTACCAGAAAGTGATGGGGAGAATGGAACCAAGTTGGAAAACACTCTGCAGGATATTATCCAGGAGAACTTCCCCAATCTAGCAAGGCAGGCCAATGTTCAGATTCAGGAAATACAGAGAACGCCACAAAGATACTCCTCAAGAAGAGCAACTCCAAGACACATAATTGTCAGATTCACCAAAGTTGAAATGAAGGAAAAAATGTTAAGGGCAGCCAGAGAGAAAGGTCGGGTTACCCTCAAAGGGAAGCCCATCAGACTAACAGCGGATCTCTCGGCAGAAACCCTACAAGCCAGAAGAGAGTGGGGGCCAATATTCAACATTCTTAAAGAAAAGAATTTTCAACCCAGAATTTCATATCCAGCCAAATTAAGCCTCATAAGTGAAGGAGAAATAAAATACTTTACAGACAAGCAAATGCTGAGAGATTTTGTCACCACCAGGCCTGCCTTACAAGACCTCCTGAAGGAAGCGCTAAACATGGAAAGGAACAACCGGTACCAGCCGCTGCAAAATCATGCCAAAATGTAAAGACCATCGACACTAGGAAGAAATTGCATCAACTAACGAGCAAAATGACCAGCTAACGTCATAATGACAGGATCAAATTCACACATAACAATATTAACTTTAAATGTAAATGGACTAAATGCTCCAATTAAAAGACACAGACTGGCTAATTGGATAAAGAGTCAAGACCCATCAGTGTGCTGTATTCAGGAAACCCATCTCACGTGCAGAGACACACATAGGCTCAAAATAAAAGGATGGGGGAAAATCTACCAAGCAAATGGAAAACAAAAAACGGCAGGGGTTGCAATCCTAGTCTCTGAGAAAACAGACTTTAAACCAACAAAGATCAAAAGAGACAAAGAAAGCCATTACTTAATGGTAAAGGGATCAATTCAACAAGAAGAGCTAACTATCCTAAATATATATGCACCCAACACAGGAGCACCCAGATTCATAAAGCAAGTCCTGAGTGACCTACAAAGAGACTTAGACTCCCACACATTAATAATGGGAGACTTTAACACCCCACTGTCAACATTAGACAGATCAATGAGACAGAAAGTCAACAAGGATACCCAGGAATTGAACTCAGCTCTGCACCAAGCAGACCTAATAGACATCTACAGAACTCTCCACCCCAAATCAACAGAATATACATTTTTTTCAGCACCACACCACACCTATTCCAAAATTGACCACATACTTGGAAGTAAAGCTCTCCTCAGCAAATGTAAAAGATCAGAAATTATAACAAACTATCTCTCAGACCACAGTGCAATCAAACTAGAACTCAGGATTAAGAATCTCACTCAAAACCGCTCAACTACATGGAAACTGAACAACCTGCTCCTGAATGACTACTGGGTACATAACGAAATGAAGGCAGAAATAAAGATGTTCTTTGAAACCAACAAGAACAAAGACACAACATACCAGAATCTCTGGGACACATTCAAAGCAGTGTGTAGAGGGAAATTTATAGCACTAAATGCCCACAAGAGAAAGCAGGAAAGATCCAAAATTGACACCCTAACATCACAATTAAAAGAACTAGAAAAGCAAGAGCAAACACATTCAAAACCTAGCAGAAGGCAAGAAATAACTAAAATCAGAGCAGAACTGAAGGAAATAGAGACACAAAAAACCCTTCAAAAAATTAATGAATCCAGGAGCTGGTTTTTTGAAAGGATCAACAAAATTGATAGACTGCTAGCAAGACTAATAAAGAAAAAAAGAGAGAAGAATCAAATAGACGCAATAAAAAATGAGAAAGGGGATATCACCACCGATCCCACAGAAATACAAACTACCATCAGAGAATACTACAAACATCTCTACGCAAATAAACTAGAAAATCTAGAAGAAATGGATAAATTCCTCGACACATACACCCTCCCAAGACTAAACCAGGAAGAAATTGAATCTCTGAATAGACCAATAACAGGATCTGAAATTGTGGCAATAATCAATAGCTTACCAACCAAAAAGAGTCCAGGACCAGATGGATTCACAGCCAAATTCTACCAGAGGTACAAGGAGGAACTGGTACCATTCCTTCTGAAACTATTCCAATCAATAGAAAAAGAGGGAATCCTCCCTAACTCATTTTATGAGGCCAGCATCATTCTGATACCAAAGCCGGGCAGAGACACAACTAAAAAAGAGAATTTTAGACCAATATCCTTGATGAACATTGATGCAAAAATCCTCAATAAAATACTGGCAAAACGAATCCAGCAGCACATCAAAAAGCTTATCCACCATGATCAAGTGGGCTTCATCCCTGGGATGCAAGGCTGGTTCAATATACGCAAATCAATAAATGTAATCCAGCATGTAAACAGAGCCAAAGACAAAAACCACATGATTATCTCAATAGATGCAGAAAAGGCCTTTGACAAAATTCAACAACCCTTCATGCTAAAAACTCTCAATAAATTAGGTATTGATGGGACGTATTTCAAAATAATAAGAGCAATCTATGACAAACCCACAGGCAATATCATACTGAATGGGCAAAAACTGGAAGCATTCCCTTTGAAAACTGGCACAAGACAGGGATGCCCTCTCTCACCACTCCTATTCAACATAGTGTTGGAATTTCTGGCCAGGGCAATTAGGCAGGAGAAGGAAATAAAGGGTATTCAATTAGGAAAAGAGGAAGTCAAATTGTCCCTCTTTGCAGACGACATGATTGTATATCTAGAAAACCCCATTGTCTCAGCCCAAAATCTCCTTAAGCTGATAAGCAACTTCAGCAAAGTCTCAGGATAAAAATCAATGTACAAAAATCACAAGCATTCTTATACACCAACAACAGACAAACAGAGAGCCAAATCATGAGTGAACTCCCATTCACAATTGCTTCAAAGAGAATAAAATACCTAGGAATCCAACTTACAAGGGATGTGAAGGACCTCTTCAAGGAGAACTACAAACCACTGCTCAAGGAAATAAAAGAGGATAACAAACAAATGGAAGAACATTCCATGCTCATGGGTAGGAAGAATCAATATCGTCAAAATGGCCATACTGCCCAAGGTAATTTACAGATTCAATGCCATCCCCATCAAGCTACCAATGCCTTTCTTGCAGAATTGGAAAAAACTACTTTAAAGTTCATATGGAACCAAAAAAGAGCCCGCATCGCCAAGTCAATCCTAAGCCAAAAGAACAAAGCTGGAGGCATCACACTACCTGACTTCAAACTATACTACAAGGCTACAGTAACCAAAACAGCATGGTACTGGTACCAAAACAGAGATATAGATCAATGGAACAGAACAGAGCCCTCAGAAATAATGCCGCATATCTACAACTATCTGATCTTTGACAAACCTGAGAAAAACAAGCAATGGGGAAAGGATTCCCTATTTAATCAATGGTGCTGGGAAAACTGGTTAGCCATATGTAGAAAGCTGAAAATGGATCCCTTCCTTACACCTTATACAAAAATCAATTCAAGATGGATTAAAGACTTAAATGTTAGACCTAAAGCCATAAAAACCCTAGAAGAAAACCTAGGCATTACCATTCAGGACATAGGCATGGGCAAGGACTTCATGTCTAAAACACCAAAAGCAATGGCAAGAAAAGACAAAATTGACAAATGGGATCTAATTAAACTAAAGAGCTTCTGCACAGCAAAAGAAACTACCATCAGAGTGAACAGGCAACCTACAGAATGGGAGAAAATTTTTGCAACCTACTCATCTGACAAAGGGCTAATATCCAGAATCTACAATGAACTCAAACAAATTTACAAGAAAAAAACAAACAACCCCATCAAAAAGTGGGTGAAGGATATGAACAGACACTTCTCAAAAGAAGACATTTATGCAGCCAAAAAACACATGAAAAAATGCTCATCATCACTGGCCATCAGAGAAATGCAAATCAAAACCACAATGAGATACCACCACACACCAGTTAGAATGGCGATCATTAAAAAGTCAGGAAACAACAGGTGCTGGAGAGGATGTGGAGAAATAGGAACACTTTTACACTGTTGGTGGGACTGTAAACTAGTTCAACCATTGTGGAAGTCAGTGTGGCGATTCCTCAGGGATCTAGAACTAGAAATACCATTTGACCCAGCCATCCCATTACTGGGTATATACCCAAAGGATTATAAATCATGTTGCTATAAAGACACATGCACACGTATGTTTATTGCGGCATTATTCACAATAGCAAAGACTTGGAACCAACCCAAATGTCCAACAATGATAGCCTGGATTAAGAAAATGTGGCACATATACACCATGGAATACTATGCAGCCATAAAAAATGATGAGTTCATGTCCTTTGTAGGGACATGGATGAAATTGGAAATCATCATTCTCAGTAAACTATCGCAAGAACAAAAAACCAAACACCGCATATTCTCACTCATAGGTGGGAATTGAACAATGAGATCACATGGACACAGGAAGGGGAACATCACACTCTGGGGACTGTTGTGGGGTGGGGGGAGGGGGGAGGGATAGCATTGGGAGATATACCTAATGCTAGATGACAAGTTAGTGGGTGCAGCGCACCAGCATGGCACATGTATACATATGTCACTAACCTGCACAATGTGCACATGTACTCTAAAACTTAAAGTATAATAATAAAAGAAAAAAAAAACTTAAAAAAAATAAAAATAAAATAAAAATAAAAATAAAAAAATAAGGTTAACAGGCTCAAGGGGATTAAAAAGGACTAGTGAAACGATTACACATGAGGCATAGTCAAGACTAGGACCCAGGTCTACTTGCTTCCTTCCCATTACACAAAATTGTCAGAACTTTTTTGCTTTTATTCCATGTTTTTACATTTGTAGGCAAATATTTAAAAATTCAGAAATTTCTGGGACATGAGATCATTCCACTTGTATTTTAGAGTTTACTACACAGTCAACATAATTAATGATTTCAAATATTTATTCAGAGATTATTTTGTATCCAAGATACTGTCATAAAAAGTCAAGATCCTAGTGTAGGAGGTGAAATTTCAAATAATCATTGAATAGCTAAAAAAAAAAAAAAAGAAAGCTCATGGAGATAGAAAATGGGCAAACATAAATGAGGAAATTCAGAAAACTAGGCACTGCATAGGTTTGCTACAATAAAAAAAGAGCAAGCATTTAAATGGGTTACAAAATTGGACACTGGAAAGCTTCTTCGAACATTTCAGTAATCAGAATATCTTCAAGGTTTGGTACAGGAATGCAAAAGGATTTCCTGACAATTGTATCCCATATACCAAACAAGTGACCTGGCTTCAGACTCCTTTGCCTTTTAACTAGTTTCTCATTACAGATGCTCCTTGACTTATCATGGGGTTATAGCCCAATAAAACCACTGGAGTCAAAAATATTATAAGTCGAAAATGCATTTAATATGCCAATAAACCCATTGTGAAGTTGAAAATCATTAAGTCAAACCATCATAAGTCAGAGACCATCTGTGCTCTATTATATGAAATATAAAATAAGTTTCCATAAATCAAAGTTAAATTAAAAAAACTACCAATAGCTTAGGAAATGTATGTCAATGCAGTTCAGTACAACAGACAATTTTGGTGGATGGAAAAAAACTGAGTAGACCCATTCCCATATGGTGAAAAATATATTGAATGTAGTTTGTGGATTGGAGGGGAGTAGGCATGATCCTTCCTTTTCTCAGGTTATTTTCTGAAAATGAGTACTGCAAATCCAGGAATTTTAATTGACTTTTTTCTTTTACTATAATATTGGCGACTTTTTTTTTTAGACGAAGTCTCTCTGTTGCCCAGGCTGGAGTGCAGTGGTGCGATCTTGGCTCACTGCAACCTCCGCCTCCTGTATCCAAGCAATTCTCCAGCCTCAGCCTCCTGAGAAGCTGGGATTACAGGCACCCACCACTGCGCCTGGCTAATTTTTGTGTTTTTAGTAGGGACGGGGTTTCGCCATGTTGGCCAGGCTGGTCTGGAACTCCTGACCTCAGGTGATCGGCCCACCTTGGCCTCCCAAAGTGCTGGGATTACGGGGGTGAGCCACCACGCCCAGCCGAGACTTTTTTCTCTTCATTTAAGTGGTTGCCTATTTTCTGCAAATCGTCAAAAATCTAAAGATTTTACTTTTTTTAACAACAGAAGTTTGTAACTCATTTTCTAAAACTCTTTAGAACATTTGAGAATAAACAACAATTTTTATATTATTGCCCCAAATTATACTTCCAAATTCAAGATGACAATCATGTTGGAGTTGTCTCACTTAACATATAATAAACTAACACAATGACAAGACCTGTGGAGAAATCTACACAAATAAGCGATGTGTACATTGGAATCTACCCCGCCCCCAACCCCTCAAATTACCAAGACATCCTTTTCCCAACCTGTTGTTTTGCCACATTTTCAAAATTCCCAGAAATTCTACATTTCTATTCAGAATTCAGCCAATGAGTTACAAAGCAAATATCTCGTCATTGGACACTGTTTTTCAATTTTTCCTAGAGGCTGTCCTGCCTTCGACGCAGTAGTTTCCTTGTTAGTAATTTTACCTCTGCTTCCTCAAGTGCAAATCTAACATTATTAAAGTTTATTCTTGTCCAGTTTCCACATCCTTACTAGAAAGATGACAACTTCGTGCAAATACCATGTAACAGGATCACTGGCTGCTAATTCGGCATTTCTGGGAATAGGCAGAGAATGTCACAAACCAGCTTCAGAACAGCACATTAAGCCTGGAAATGTAGTTTATAATTTCACTTGACTTTCAAATATTTGATTTTACACTTGATGGGCGGCATTTCTAATCAATAGTGAAACGGGAAAGGTTCCCTTGTCCCCCTCGCAGGGTGTGTAATGGGGAAGTGGCTCGCTTCTTCAGTGCCCCGCTGCTCAAACCTCTAGGGGAGCATAGAGATGGGCAGGCTGTGGGGCTGTGACCCCACAGCAGTGTCTAGGGGTGAATGTTTACAGCTCCTGAAGCCCCAGTGGGTGAGTGTTACAGAATACTCTTTTAGTTTGCCATCTACTGGCGGCTTGTGTTAACCAGCTCAGTTAGATCCCCTTCCTTATCACAAAGACAAAGGGATTTCTGTATTCCAGGGTTTCTTGCCTTGGTGTACCAGAAGAATCCGATCACGCATGGTCTTGGAGAATGAGTGCAAGGTTTTATTGAGTAGAAGTGGCTCTCAACAGATGATGGAGCCAGAAGAGAGATGGTTTTCCCCTGGAGTCAGGCTGCTAGGCAGCCCCGACTCTTCTCAGACTGCTCCGGCCAAACTCTGGGACATTCCGCTACTGGATGGCCTGCCGGTCTGCTGGTGCCTGTCAGCATGCTCTCAACGACAAGCCACCCATGTTTTCTTCTACCAAAGTATTCTTCATGACTTCCAGCTGCTTCTGTCTCTGCCTTGCTAGGGTCTCAGGTTTTTATAGGCCCAGGATGGGGGTGTGGCGGGCCAGGGTGGTCTTAGAAAATACAACATTTGGGTTGGAAGGCAGAAATGCCTGTCATCACCTAGGTCCATGGGGGTGGAGCCCTAGCCAGGGACAGGCCTTTCTCTACCCAGCACTTCCCTTCCCCGTTCCTTATCATTTAAAGGGACCACAATCTTCCCTTCCCAGCACTCCTGTATCAATAGTATTAATAAGCACTAGGCAGGTGACAAGGTGGAACTAAATATACCATAGTTACACGCAGAGCAGTGTTTCAACAACGAAGTGCCTGAGACCTTAAGGCAAAATTGCTTCAAATTTCATTGTTCACTTAAAGAAAAATGTTAAAAGATGACTCAATGACTGTTCCTTCACAATTAATATTCTTTAAACTGTACTCTACTAAACAGAAATTGTGAGGTCAGGCCAAGCATACATTAAGTTGACTAAAGCATTAGATAAAAGTAAAATAATCACAGCACTTTGGGAGGCTGAGGTGGGTGGATCACCTGAGGTCAGGAGTTCAACACCAGCCTGGCCAACATGATGAAACCCCATCTCTACTAAAAATACAAAAAAATTAGCCGGACGTGGTGGCCCGCACCTGTAATCCCAGATACTCAGGAGACTGAGACAGGAGAATCACTTGAATCCAGGAGTCAGAAGTTGCAGTGAGCCGAGATTGCATCACTGCACTCCAGCCTGGGCGATAAGAGTAAAACTCCATATAAAAAAAAAAAGGAAAATAAAAGTAGGTTTTCGTACCACAGCTGACACTCTGGTTAACTCTTATTCAAATAAAATGTCCCTCAAAGTTTAATTCCAGACACTTAGTTCAGAAATAAAATATTGGAGTACTTAAGGTTTTTTTTTCTGATAAAATGTGTGCAAGCTTATATAAAATGAAGATAAGTATATGAAATAAAATATGAAAATGCTTTCACATAAAGAGTTTCCATTTTTCAGTCTTCAGATGAAGTATCTTATGAATGTATTGGTGTTCATTCTGACCAAAGCTGAAGAAATGTTGAATGAAATGAAAGTAACATGCAATAGACTGAATGTTTGTGTCCCCCCATAATTTATATGCTGAACTTCTAATCCCAGTGTGATGACATTTGGAGGTAGGGTCTGTGGGAGATGCTTAGGTCATAAGGATGGAACGCTCATGAACGGGATAAGTGCTTGATATAGTTTGGATGTTTTTCCCCTCCAAATCTCATGTTGAAATGTGATCTCCAATGTTGAAGGTGGAGCCTAGTGGGTGGTGTTTGGGTCATGGGGGCAGATCCCTCATTAATGGCTTGGTGTCCTTCCCACGGTAATGAGTTCACATGAGACCTGGTTGTTAAAGACCCTGGCACCTCCTCCTCTCTCTCTCTCGGTCCTTCTCTTGCCATGTGATATGCCGGCTCCCCCTTCACCTTCTGGCATGATTGTAAGCTTCTTGAAGCCCTTACCAGAAGCAGATGCTGGCACCACACTTCTTTTTTTAAAACTTTTAAGTTCAGGGGTACATGTGCAGGATGTGAAGGTTTGTTACACAGGTAAACTTGTAGCATGGGGGCTTGTTGTACAGCTATTCTATTGCCCAATATTAAGTCTAGTACCCATTAGTTATTTTTTCTGATCATCTCCATCCTCCCTTCCCCCCACTCTCTGAAAGGTCCTAGTGTGTGTTATTCTCCTCTATGTGTCCATGTGTTCTCATCATTTAGCTTCTACTTACAAGTGAGAACATGTGGTAACTTTATACCATAGTATTCCATGGTGTATATGTACCACATTTTCTTTATCCAGTTTATCACTGACAGGCATTAAGTTGATTCCATGTCTTTGCTATTGTGAATAGTGCTGCAATGAACATACTCATGCATGTTTCTTTAAAATAGAATGCTTTATATTCCTTTGGGTATATACCCAATAATGGGATTGCTGGGTTGCATGATATTTCTGTATTTAGGTCTCGGAGGAACCATCACACTGTCTTCCACAGTGGCTGAACTAATTTACACTCCCACCAATAGTATAAGCATTCCTTTTTCTCCACAACCTTGTCAGCATCTGTTATTTTTCAACTTATTAGTAATAGCCATTCTGACTACACCATACTTCTTGCACAGTCTGCAGAACTATGAGCCAAATATAACTCTTTTCTTTATAAATTACCCAGTCTCAGGTATTCCTTTACAGCAACACAAAATGGACTGGCAGAGTGCCTTTATAAGAAGAGGCTGGAGAACTAGATAGCTCCCATTCCACCACATGAGGATACAAGGAGAAATTGGCTGTCTACAGCCCAGAAGAGGCAACAGAACCTGACCACACTGGCACCCTGATCTTGGGCTTCCAGTCTCCAGAACTGTAAAAAATAAACTTCTGATGTTTATAAGCCACCCAGTTTATGGTACTTTGTTACAGCTGCCCAAACTAAGACATAACAACCACCAAGGAACTAATGATAATTATGTTTGAGTTTACAAAACCAAGAATAAACATCAGAATATTTATTCTATATTTTTAATGTATTAACTGTGCCCTCCTACTCACTTCCAAATAATAATATATGATGAGTTAGACAAGACTTTACAGAGTAAATTTTACGATATTAGGTAGAATGATTAGGTACAATGCTGCAGGGTATTTAGAGTCAAATTTATCTTACTCTTGGGAAACTGCCCATTAGAACCTACTTCCTTGGCCACATTTGACCCAATAGCCACCAGCTACAGGCTGTCATGCAACTTATATGAAGATCTAGGAAAAGACTCCTAGCCACTAGAGATGTTTTGTCTTAGATAGAGATGGACTCACCGAGTCAGATCTCACTCAGGAGTCTGAATAAAAGACAAATATAAAGTGTTAGAAACAGCTGATGATGAGGGCAAAACCCAAGAGATAAAATATTAAACTCAAACTACATGGCAGTAAATGTCATGTTAGCTGTTTAAGTAATTGCATTTAATGTCAAATAAAATGATTCTACTCAATTATTTGCATCATCCAGCCCACACGATAGCATAATCTTGTCATCGTCTAGTACATTCTGGGAAATTTAGTTTTTCTCATGCCTCCATCCAGTTCAATCCTCCTCACTGCCAGCTGGCTTCTAACCATTGTTCTCAGCTCACTGGAGATTTGCTACTGTCCCAGACTGAAATTCCCATTGCCTTTATTCCACCAACACTCTTCACCTAAGGCCATTACATATAACATATACAACATATGTTTACTGAGGATAATTAAAGTCGGGAATAACTTTATAGTGAACATTAAACACCAGTATCTCTAGCAATTCATCGGCCATTCCCTACCACAGGTTAATTACATTGGCCATTTTTCTAGGTAAGCCCTGTCTTTTCTCCATTCTACAGGGCACATTTCTCTCCAGGCTTATATGCGTATGGGTGCAAAGCAATAAAGTTAATGAGTAGCTTTTACTTTCACAAATAAAGTTTTCTTCAAACACATGGCTTTGTCAGCCTTTCCTTTTGCAAATTTTTACCTTATTCTTAAAGTTACTGTTTTTAAAAATACATATTTGTGTGTATGGTGTGTGTGTGTGTCTGTGTGTGTGATGTGATTGATTTTGGCCTCATTTTCTAGTAAGTAGGGGATGGTAAGCACTCAAACAAACTAAAAAGTGCCTTCCTCTTCTAAAGGAGGTAACTGGTCTCCAGCTCCAGCCTCTGTTGCCGAGGCAGGATGCCAACCCAATGCCACCAGATCTGCCAACTTTTCAAGAGAAGCCAGATATCCAGTATGTATAAATGTCCTAATTTTAAAAGACCTGGCTACTATTTTAATTTTTTAAATACTATGTGAAAAAAATAAAAATTGTATGAGGCAGTCTATCCAGCTAGAAGAAGACCCTGTCTTCCATCTCAAATTCTAGGGTTCCTTTCTGCTATTGGAGATGCCAATGGACAACTCTAAAATTTCTGTTTTAAATATTGTAGTAACAGTCTGAACTGGCTTAAGAAAGGATAATTCATTGAGTGTATCTTATGGGGCCCAAGCTGAGGAATGTGGCTGGATCTTGGGAACACTGAGTTCAGGGACTCAAATCTCATCAGAATTTTCCAGTTGTAATGGCTACTTTTCCTCTACAGCTCCTTCATTTCTCTCTCCCCCATACCTTCTCTCTCTCTCTGTCTCTCTCTCATTGATTTGATTTTATTCATGTCTTCTGATGGCAAGGCTGCAGCCATGAATAACTCCCAAACATTTTTACAAGATTTAGGCTTCTAAAGAGAGCTAGCCACCTCTTTCTTGATTTTCAAAATTCCCGGGAAGCACTCTGATTGTCCAATCCTGGGTCAGGTAACCAAACTTGAACCAATCAAATATGACCACACTGGGGTAATGCTCAGACAGTAAATATGTAACCAGAAGGGGCTGAAATAGTAGAGAATGTTGCACTGAAAAAAAGAAAAAGGTGTTGCTATGCAAACACCATTGCAAACACACAATTACATTCACAAACTTTAAGTAACAGCAGGAAGTTGCCCATAATTAAATGTGCAGCTCTGTATACAAGCAAGTTAAGCTACAGAATTTTCAAAGGATTTATTAGCTTAGAATTAGTAGAGAAAAACTTTCTGTAGGATGAGGGATATGAGCTACCCTCTGAAGTATACATAAGATTTTGTTTGATTACAGGGAGCCAAAGATCCAAAATGCAAAGCAGAGCCATGAAGAGGGACATTCCATTCAATTCCACATAACTTTGTCAGGGACCTGTGCAGTATAAGGGATTGTACCAGAAACCAAGGCCCAAATTCAATCGTGAAGAATTAGACCATAACAGTCTTTCTGACTGAACTCTTCTTGGTTAAGCAATGTGCTCAAAGAATGTTAATAGATTTTTGTCAATATTAAGGGAAGTCCCTAGATGCATTCCACAGAACATTACAGTCTACCCTGACTCTTAAACGTGTTATCAACTTAAATAAAGACACTTAAAGCATGCTCACAAAATCTGCTGAGAATACAAATTTGAGAAGGTTTAAAAATGACTATTTCAAAATTGTAAAATAATAGGTCAAAACCAGCATAATAAAATGTATTAGGAATCAATGTGAAGTGCTACACTGAGGATCAAAAAAAAACCGTCTTGGAGTTCAGAATGTGGTAGATCTGGCACAAGAGCAATCAAGTGGGGCAGAAAAGTAATCTATGAGCTTCTCTTAATTGCAATGTGGCTATGAGTAAAAAAAAATTTTTGAGACAGAATCTCACTCTGGCACCCAGGCTGGGGTGCAGTGGCACGATCTCCACCCACTGCAACCTCCGCCTCCCAAATTCAAGCAATTCTCTTGCCTCAGCCCCCCGAGTAGCTGGGATTACAGGCACCCACCACAACACCTGGCTAATTTTTGTATTTTTAGTAGAGATGGGGTTTCACCATGTTGGCCAGGCTGGTCTCGAACTCCTGACCTAACTGATCCACCCCGCTTGGCCTCCCAAAGTGCTGGGATGATACGTGTGAGCCACCAGGCCCAGCCGGCTATCGGTCAAACTTCTGGCAGGGCACTAACATATAAGATGCATCCTTAAGGAGAATTAATCCTTGTGTCCAAAACAAGAATATTGGTCATACCACTACTCAATATCATTACATCTAGATGATTCTATTCAACTCTGGATTCTGCATTTAAGGGATACATTGACAAACACTTCCAAGGAAAGAGGACTAGAAAGTGGAAGGGTCTAGAAACCATGTCATAAATAATAACTTAATGGGGTCTAGAGAAAAAAGGACCAAACAAGAAAAGACTTTCCTGAGAACTTAGACTAACTCTGAGGGTCTCTAGTGGGTGGAGCTTGTACCAATTTAAGGAAGTTGACAAGAAGCAGTGTTGGATTTACTTTGAGAAAGAAGTCCATAATGAATACTGCCATCCTATAAAAAATTGATTGCCTTTTAAAGCAATGAACTAGATAAATACCTGCCAAAGAGATATGGATTATATTCCTGCCATGAGAAGGAGGTTGGGTTCACTGACCTAATAATCTCTTCCAACATTCTATACTCCATTAGTTTCTTTTTCTGCATTTATTTACATATGTTTACATATAAAGGGATGGCTCCTTTAGCCATGCCAAATAAAAAAGCCAGCCAATGTCCTTTGGCTTCAACATATTTAGAGTTTAAAAACTAATATCAACTCAGCAAAGATTTTTGGCAATTTTATTTTGTTCTAAAAACCTCAAATTCAATTTCCCCAGAAATAGACATCATACTATCAATTCACAGATGACTTACTTAGGTAAGAATGAACTTGGAGATTCAATTGTAAATAATTTTTGCCTGAAGATCAAAGCAGAAATTGTACCAGTGTCTACAACTCATTTCCGGACAAAATAAGTACTACTAAATGTTCTTCCATGAAGCTTCTGTCTACGGCTGCTGAGACAGACTCTGCAATAGAAACTCACTTTGAGTATGGGCTATGTTGCTTACTAGTTATTTTAACTTGGGCAAGTCATTAGCCTGTCTGAAGCCCAATTTTTCATCCCTAAAGTGAAGCTGTTAGTGCAATAATATCTTCCACGTACCTTTTGGGGTACAATGATCAAGTTTGATAATATATGTGAAAATATTTATAAATTGTAAAATATTAGCTATTATATGCTGAGGAAAAACAGCGTATATTCAATTACAAATTTCTGCAGCTGGGATACTGAAACATTTTAATGTTCCATAAAAATCCCAGCTTCCACCTGCAAGGCTCTCTGGCTTTACTATACAGGGTTACATTTTAAAGATAAAACCATTCCCTAATTATGGTTGCCTGCTACATTATAAAATTAACTGTTTTGCTTTAGTGCAGAGTTTAGCAGCTGGTTCAACCTTAATGCTTTTTACTCAGACCACACACTGTGGCATAATATCCTTTCATTTTATTACAGTGTTTCACATTAATTTTATATTTAATTGTCCTTTACAGTATTTCTGTCTTAAAAATTTTTTTGGAGGTTAAGTGAAGCTTATCCTAGAACCAGGGGCTACCAAACAATCAGAACCGTCACTTTTCCTAATGAGTCATTCAAAAATACTGTAAAAATATAACTGTTCAACACCAAAGATGAGATTTTAATTTAAATTATTTATAAAGCAGAAGGGCAGAATTAGGTATTGCTGAAACAAAAAGATTTTGCACTTTCAGTATGTTAAATGATTTTACATGCACAGTATGTTTTTAAAAGTTTACTGATCCCACATTTAGTAATAAACTCCATGGGATGTCTGGCAGAAATTCCCAGCCACAACAGTTTACGCCGACCATCTGTGTCTGCAAGAAGCTTCCAGATATTCTGCCACCTGATTCACTGTCCCAACTCTTCTCACTTCTATTCACAGGCTTCTTTTAATTTTCATCATATACTATATCTACCCTGAGAGGAAGAAAATATTACCAAAACAGTACAGTGTTACATATTTCTGAAACCAAAATAAGATGGGAGAACTTTTAACAACCAATTCAATTTGTAATGGATTGATGAATCTCTTGCTCTTCAGAGTGAGGCTGTATCAGCAACACAGAATATCACAGAAGGAAGGGTCTTTATAGATTGTCTAGTTCACTGCCTTCCTTTGACAGATAAGGAAACTGAGGCCCAGGAAGTCAGAGGCTTGCCTGAGGCCCCATAGACTGATGCCAGGGAGCAGGGAGGAGAGTGTGGGGTGCAGTTGACCCCACAGCATGAGCATTTTTCAACACACCATTCAAATTCAGCTGTCCTATGTCACTAGTGACTGCCTTGGTTCCAGATCCAAAGACCAGCCTATCAATTCCCAATCTGGCTTTGGAGAGTAGACCTACCTAATAAGAAGGAAAAAATTTACAACTAGATAAAGGCTATCTGCAAAGGCCTCTTTTCACTGACCCTCAGCACCCAATCTCCCCTCACCCAGTGCCTCCAAACTCTTGACTCCAGACCAGTGGAAAGCACACGAGCTTTGGCAACAAGACTCCAGAGTTTCAAGTCTCAGTTCTGCTATTCGGCTCTCTGCCCTAGGGCATGTTGCTAACCACTCTATGCCTCCATTTCCTTCTCTCTAAAATAGGCTTAACATTCTCACTTGTTAGGGCTCTGTGAGATTTTAATGAGATGTATTTTTGGAAGCCTTATGTGTAAGTAGTCAGTGGCTTAATAGAACCACAGGATTGTCATGGGCACTAAGGAAATATCTGACTGAACGCTACAAAGGGAGTTCTAAAAAGTCTGTCAAGTTTCTCAATGTTTGCAAGAGAGACAATTCTGCAATTTTGTGTAATCTATTTACTACTCTCTACTTCAGCATTCATTTACCTAAAAGAATTAGGGCCTATTATGTGAAAAAATAACAACTCATTGCAAGACTGCTTCTGTAGATAATGATCTCAATGTAAGAGGGGCAGAATAGGTCAATAAATCTGTTTCCATATCTCACTCGTTCACTACCTGGATATTGGCCAGGCTACTCTTAGGGATCCCCGATTATTTGCAGATTGTTGAAATCTCTCCTGTGGCCATAAATATGAGAAGGTGAGTCTACAACTTCTCTTTGTAATTTAAAATAAAATCAAAAAAATTTCACTATAAACAGTTGAGTAATCACGGGTCAGGGGTGGTAAGGATGCTTATTTCTAAGGAAAGTAACTTCAACCTTGACCTGTACTCAAAATAAATCCCATCCATCATCACTCATTTTAATACTCTAGTATTCCATGTTAAGGTTGGTGAGTACTTACAGGTTTAAGAGGAGCTGAGTGAAAAGAGAAGGTTGAGTTTAGAAATACAGTAGCTTCTGCTTATACTCAGTTTTGCTTTCCACAGTTTCAGTTACCCACAGTCAACCACAATCCTAAAAGATTATATTGAAAACTCCAGAAATAAACAATTCGTAAGTTTTAAATTGATAGCTATTCTAAGTAACATGATGAAATCTCAAGCTGTCCTGTTCCATACCACTTGGGACAGGAGTCATCACTTTGTCCAGTGTAGCCATGCTGTAGAGGCCACCCACCCACTAGGCACTCAGCAGCTCTCTTTGTTATCAGATCAACTGTTGCAGTATCTGAGTGCTTGTGTTCATGTAACCTTTATTTTAATTAATAATGTCCCCAAAGCACAAGAGTAGTGGTGGTAGCATGTTGTTATAGTTGTTCTATATTATTATTAGGTATTGTTAATCTCTCGATGTGCCTAATTTATAAATCAAACTTTATCATAGGTATGTATGTATAGAAAAAATATATAGTATATATGGGATTTGGTACTATCCATGATTTTAGGCATTCACTGGGGGTCTTGAAACATATCCCCATGGAAAAGACGAAACTGTTATAGCCAGTTAGTATCTGCTGCACAGAGGAAGCCTATTAAACACACTTCTAATATTCTATCATCTTGAACTTTTATAGGTCCCTGGATTTAATGATTAAGATTTTGCCACACTGAAAATTGTGGCAATGGTTGTAACAATTCCAAATTAAATTAGTGCAAACATAGTAAAGAGAATCGAGAAGAGAGCTAACTAGCTAATGAATAATTTTATGAAGTGTCAAAAGCAGCTGACAAGAAAATAGTAATATTAATTAATACCAACTGGCTTCTTAAAACATATCTAGCAGCCCCTCTTGGGATACGTGATTACTGGGTCACAGTCCACAGATTCATGTGGCATTTGGAGTGAGTCCTGCATCTCTCAACATTCTGGACTGTGAAGAACCCTCAGATGGAGCAATGATCTCACTCAGCGTAAATCGTGCCAAGCCTTGGGTAACTCCCCCATCCTGTACTCTCTGGAGAGATGCCACCTCCCAAAAACTGTGGAATGTAACACATTAATGTCTCAGAAGGTGGGAAGTGGGGGGGGTGTAGATTTTCTCTGTTAAAATGTTAATACAATTATATGAGTTTAAATGTTTAAAGGAAGATAATTAGGATTTCTCAGGGCAAGTTGATAATTTTCTTTTTTTCTCAATAACTTCTGTAACTAATAGCAAAAGTAATGCCCACTTGGAGGTGATAGAAAAAGAAGTGCTTGCTTCAGCAGCACATATACTAAAATTTTAACAGTACAGAGAAGAATTAGCACGGCCCCTGCGCATAGATGACATGAAAATTCGTGAAGCATTCCATTTTTTTAATTAAAAATAAATCAAGGAAAAACCCAAAGAAATGAAATTAAATTCACCAATAATCCCCTCCATTCTGAAATGACCACTATAATAATTTATTATGAATTTGGCAATGTGGAAGTTGAACCAGGACTACGATGACAAGACTCGGGGCAAGAGGAAAACTTTGGCTAAGCCAGAAACACAATGATGCTCGGGGCAAGAAGAAAAGGGGTTAAAAAATTTGTTTAAGAAACCTATAAACATTAAGGATTATTTTGGTGCAAACTAGGTAGAACATTGTAGGGGAGGTGCACATCCTCATTGTCACACTAGACTAGCTCACAGGGGCAGAAGCTGAGATTCACCTTTGTAACTTAGCACCTAGCCCACCTGGAAGGAAGAAAGGAACTCCCTGCTGTCATTCACCCCAATCAGGCTCTCAGGCAGAACTCGCCTGTATGAGAAACAGCTTGATTTTACATCAATGAAGCAGAGTCCTTGGGATTTGTCCATTTAAGATTCATATTCTACACCTTTTTTGCTTTCTCAGTCCAGAACATCTTAATACATAACACGTCCGTCCTCAAAGCAGTCCTGTAGTCCTTCCGCTCTCAGGTTCAGATGACATCTCTCCCTTTGAGGTATCGCCCAGAGCCCGCGCAGAATTTGAATGTTACGTACATCAAATACTTCCTATTTTAAGTCAGAAAACCACAAGCATACTCCACGGTTGGGGAATATTTGTTCAGCGATTTTCCCATAATACAGTAGCATGCAGAGAGAAACAGCTAATGGTGGTCAATTTCAGCTCAGTTCACTGCAACAAATATTGATTATGTGTTGTGTGTCAGCAATGGTCCTAGGTATGAGTACATAACAATAAAGACATTCTCCCATCTTGAGAATCTCACAGTCTGTAGAGGGGAGACAGACACAGAAATTATTTTTGTACAATTGTTAAGTACAAGTGTCTCTGGTACATGAAAGAAAGAAGGATACTGTATTCCCTTCAATTAACTTTCCTCTACTCATAAAACTTACCCCTCAGTTTGTTTGTTTTGGGGTTTTGAATTACTTTTCATCCATTAAGCACCTATTACATATGGCTGCCATTGTATTAATTGCTTTGTAGATACTGTCTCAACTCTAACAACCCTGTGAAATGAACATTACTTTCCATATGTTTTAAGCTTTATTGAGGCATAATTGGCAAATTTAAAAATTATATCTATTCAAGGTGTACACTGATGTTTTGATACACATATACCTTGTGAAATGATTACCACAAGCAAGTAATATATCCATCACCTCATGTAATTACTTTTGTGTGTGTGTAGTGAGAAGACTTAAGATCTACTCTTTTAGCAAATTTCAAGTATACGATACATTATTATTAACTACAGTCGCCATGGTGTACATTAGGTCTCTAGCACTTATTCATCATAGAACTGTCCATTTGAAGCCTTTGACCAACATCTCCCCATTTCCCCTATCCCCAGGTCCCTAGTAACCACTGTTCTTTCTCTGCTTCTATGTATTCAACTTTTTTAGATTCCACATATAAATGAGGTCATGCAGTATTTTTTTTTCTGTCTGGCTTATTTCACTTAGCATAATATCTCCCAAATTCATCTATGTTGTCAAAGATGGCAGAATCTCCTTCTTTTTTAAGGTTGAATAATATCACATTGTGTATATATATATACATACACACACACATATACATACACACATATATACCACAATTTCTTTATCCATTCATTTGTCAATAGACACTTAGGTTGGTTTCAAATCTTGGCCATTGTGACTAAAGCTGCAATGAACATGGGACAACAGATACCTTTTCAAGGTACTGATTTCATTTCCTTTGGATATATGCCCAGAAGAGGGATTGCTGCATCATATAGTAGTTCTGTTTTTAATTTTTGAGGAATCTCCACACTATTTTCCACAATAGTTGTACCAATTTACATTCCCACCAACAGTGTACTAGGGTTCCCTTTTGCTCACATCCTCCCCAACACTTGCTATCTTTCATCTTTTCATAATAACCATCCTAACAGGTGTGAGGGATATCTCACCATGGTTTTGACTTACATTTCCCTGATGATTAGCAATGCTGAGTACCTTTTCATACACCTGTTGGCCATTTTTGTGTCTTCTTTGGAAAAATGTCTATTTGAGACCTTTACCCATGTTTTAATCAGGTTATTTGGCTTTTTGCTATTGAGTTGTTTGAGTTCCTGATATACTTTGGATGTTAATACCTTATCAGGAATATGGTTTACAAATATTTTCTCCCAATCTGTCAGTTGCCTTTGCATTTTGTTGATTGTTTTCTTTGCTGTGCAAAGCTTTTCAGTTTGATATAGTTCCATTTGTTTATTTTTGCTTTTGTTGCCTGTATGATGACCAAAATTACATTCCAAAGCCAATGTCAAGGAGCCTTTCCCCTATGTTTCCTTCTAGAAGTTTTATGGTTTCAAGTATTACTTGAATCCATTTGGAGTTGATTTTTGTGTGTGGCATAAGATAAAGGTCCAATTTTATGATTTTGCATGTGACTATCCAGTTTTCCCAACATCATTTCCTGAAGAGACTATCTTTTCTCCATTATATATTCTTGGTGCTCTTGTTGAAAATTAGTTGACTATATATTCCTGGGCCTATTTCTGGGCTTTTAATTCTGTTCCATTGGTTTACGTGTCTGTTTTTAGGCCAGTATCAAACCGTTTTGGTTACTATATATGCAGTAACATAATTTGAAATCTGGAAGTATGGTGTTTGCAACTTTGTACTTCTTTCTCAAGATTGGCTATTTAGGATGTTTTGTGGTTCTGTATGAAATTTAGAATCTTCAGGATCTTTTGTGGTTCTATAGGAATTGTTTTTTTCCATCTCTATGAAAAAATGCCATTGAAATTTGATAGACTGCATTGAATTTATACATTGCTTTGAATAGTGTAAACATTTTAACAATATTAGTTCTTCCAATCCATGAACACAGGATATCTTTCTATTTATTTCTGTCTTCTTCAATTTCTTTCATTAGCGTGTTATAGTTTTCAGTGTATAGATGCTATGGTGTAAATGTGATATTCTTTCCAAAATTCATGTTGAAACTGAATCTCCATTGTGGGTATATTAAGAATTGAGGCCTTTAGGGAAATGATTAAGTCATGAGGGCTCTGACCTTATAAATAGATTAATGCCCTTATAAAAGAAGCTTCAGAGAGTGTTCACCTCTCTTACTCTTCCATCTTCCACCATGTGAGAGTGCCAATGTGAGAAGACGCTATCAATGAAAAAGGCCCTCACTAGATACTGAACCAGCTGGTTCCTTGACCTTGGAAAAATAGATTTCTCCATGAGACAAATCTTTGCTTGGTGCAGCCCATGCCACAGCTTTCACCAATTAGAGTAGGGTGCCTGAGGCTTTTCAGTCTTTAAAAATTACTAAGTCTCAGGTATTTTGTTACAGCAGTACAAATGGACTAAGACAACAAATCTGTCACCTCTTTGGTTACATTAATAAAATTAGAAAGGAAAGAAGAGACATTACAATGGATGCCTCAGTAATAAAAATTTTAAAAGATCACAAGGGACTATTATGAACAATTATATGCCAATATATTGTATAAGTGAAAATGGATACAACTGTGGAAATATACAACCTATCAAGGCTGAATCAAAAAGAAACAGAAATCCTGAACAGATTAATAACTAATAAGGAGATTGAAATAGTAATCAACGTCCTCTCAACAAATAGAAGCCAAGGACCAGATAGCTTCATCACTGAATTCCACCAAACATTCAAAGAAAAATTAACACCAATTCTTTTCAAACTCTTCAAAAAATAGAAGTAAAAGGAATGTTTCTAACTCGTTTCATGAGGCCAGCATCATCCTGATACCAAACCAAACAAAGATACCACAAGAAAAGTAGACTATAGACCAGTATCTTTGAAGAGCATAGATGTAAATCTCCTCAATAAAATATCAGCAAACTGAATTCAACAACATATCAAGAGCATTATACATTATGACAAAGGGGGGTTTATCCCCAGAATGCTAGGCTGGTTTAACATACACAAATCAATCACTGTCATATACCACAGTAACAGAATGAAGGATAAAAATCAACTCAAATGTCCAACAATGATAGACTGGATTAAGAAAATGTGGCACATATACACCATGGAATACTATGCAGCCATAAAAAATGATGAGTTCATGTCCTTTGTAGGGACATGGATGAAGCTGGAAACCATCATTCTCAGCAAACTATCGCAAGGACAAAAAACAAAACACCGCATGTTTTCACTCATAGGTGGGAATTGAACAATGAGAACACATGGACACAGGAAGGGGAACATCATGCACTGGGGCCTGTTGTGGGGTGGGGGGAGGGGGGAGGGATAGCATTAGGAGATATACCTAATGCTAAATGACAAGTTAATGGGTGCAGCACACCAACATGGCACATGTATACATATGTAACAAACCTGCATGTTGTGCACGTGTACCCTAAAACTTAAAGTATAATAAAAAATAAAAATAAAAAATAAAGCAGAGGGAATAAATGGAACCCCAAATAAAAAAAAAATCACAATCATCTCAATAGATGTGGAAAAATCATTTGGCAAATTCAACATCCTTTCATGATAAAAACTCTCAACAAAATAGGTATAGAAGGAAATTCCCTCACACAATAAAAGCTATTTATGAAAAGTCCACAGCTAACAGTATAATCAATGGGAAAAAATTGAAAGCATTTCCTCTAAGATCTGGCATAAAGCAAGGATCCCGACTGTCGCCACTTATATTCAACATAGTACTTGAAGTCTCCACCAGAGCAATCGGTTAAGAAAAAGAAATAAAAGACATCTGATTTAGATATCAGAAAAGAAGTAGTAAAACTATTCCTGTTCGCAGATAACATGATCCTATATGTAGAAAACCCTAAGAGCTCCAAAAAAAATACTGTTAGAACTAGTAAAGTTGCAACTAGTAAAGTTGAAGTATACAAAATCAATATTCAAAAAAGTGAGGTTTAAATTTAACAACATTCTGCAGCTGGTAAAGTTGCAGTATACAAAATCAACATTTAAAAATATTACATCACTGGTCATTAGAGAAATGCAAATAAAAATTGCAACGAGATACCATCTCACATCCAATTAGAATGACTATATTAAAAAATCAAAAATAGCAGATGCTGGTAAGGTTGTAGAGAAAAGGGAATGCTTATACACTGTTGGTGGGAATGTAAATTAGTTCAATCATTGTGGAAAGCAGTGTAATGATTCTCCAAAGAACTAAAAACAGAAATACCATTCAACCCAGCAATCTCATTACTGGGTATATACCCAAATGAATATAAATCATTCTATCATAAAGACACATGCACGTGTATGTTCATTGCAGCTCTATTCACAACAGCAAAGACATAGAATCAACATAAATGCCTATCAATGTTAGACTGGATAAAGAAAATGTGGTACATATACACCATGGAATACTATGCAGCCATAAAAAAGAGTGAGATTATATCCTTTGCAGGGACATAGATGAAGCTGGAGGCTATTATCTATAGCAAACTAATGCAGGAACAGAAAGACAAATACAGAATATTCTCACTTACAAGTGGAAGCTAAATGATGAGAACACACGGCCACATTGAAGGGAATAACACACACTGGGACCTACCTTATGGTGGAGGGTGGGAGGAGGGAGAAGATTAATAAATAAATAAATAATGGATACTAGGCTTAATACTTGGGTGATGAAATAATCTGTACAAAAAACTCCCATCACACAAACTCACCTATGTAACAGACCTACACATGTACCTGTGAACAAAATAAAAATTAAAAATTTCACACCTGTAATCCCAGCATTTTGGGAGGCCGAGGTGGGTGGATCACAGGATCAGGAGTTCAAGACCAGCCTGGCCAATATGGTGAAACACTGTCTCTACTAAAAATACAAAAATTAGCCAGGCATGGTGGCAGGAGCCTGTAGTCCCAGGTACTCAGGAAGCTGAGGCAGGAGAATCCCTTGAACCCGGGAGGCAGAGGTTGCAGTGAGCCAAGATCACGCCACTGCACTCCAGCCTGGGCAACAAAGCAAGACTCCATCTCAAATAAATAAATAAATAAATAAAAATAATAAAAAATTTTAAAAGCAGTTGCATTTATTTACACTAATAACTATCTAAAAAGAAAATTAAGAAAATAAATCCATTTACAATAATAGCATAGAAAAAAATAAAATACTTTTAATATCTTACAGATATAAAAGCTAAAACTCATAGATTAGAAAATTTGCCCCAAATCACAAAATTAGTAAAATGACAAAGTCATAAGTTTGCATCGGAATGCAATATTACAGTCTTCAAACAATCTTACTTTTTTCGTGATCGTACTTACCTGGGCCCACTGAAGTTCTCACAACTAACTCAGTATCATGCATTCCATCTCTTAATATCCAACCATGTTACAAAGCTAGTTTAACTTTGAAGGTATCAAAATCAAATAATTACAGAAGAAAAGTTTGCACTCTGCTTTGGTCATATAATCTCTTTTAAGCAAAAATTTCCAAAGATTTACCATTGCCTTTCAGAAAGATTTCCATCCAAAGCAAAAACCCTGGCATTCAAGGCCTTGTTGTATGTAATCTGTTCCACTTCCACTGTAAAGCCTATCTTTACAAAGCCCGTTTTGAGCCATCTTCCTCCTTAGGTAAAATCATTTATCAGGAGTGTCTCATTTACCATATACTACCCAATAAAAACAAATCTCCAATATATGAACATTTGAATTACTGATGGCAATACAGAGGAACAATTTTATTTAATAATGTTACAAAAAAAATGCAGTAATACATGTGAGGTGCTTAGAAGAAGACCAGGCAAAAAGCGATAGGCCAATTTTATTGTCATTTAAAAACTGGAACTACAGAATGAATTGTTTCCTTTATATTTTGGACTTGCTGCTCTCACTCATTCTCTGGGCTTCTTCCTATTCTGCAATGTTTGGAAAACATTTCCATTTTGGTTGAGAAGTAATTTGGACATTTTTCTCTAGCCTGTCTGAACTGATAACCTCCAGCTGTGTTGCTAAGCAGAGTCTGTGGATGCTCATGAAGTTATCTATAAAAGAGAGCAATTCACCATCAAATGAATTTGTACTTCCTTAGACGTTCAAGTCTTTTTCTCTTTTTGCTTCTCTGCGCCATCTCTTGGGTTTCTCTTTACACTAGAGTTTACTTTTTCATGAACACAGACACAAAATACAGTTAATAGATTTATTTTGATAGAGAAAAAATATTTTTTCCAACTGAATGTTCAAAAAATAAATTTTGAGAAAAACGGTTTCATACAAAACATGGATATACACTAAAAGGTTAAGAATAGTAATCTCTTGGTGATAGAAACATGATATTTTAATTTTGCTTATCTGTACTTTCTAACTTTCTACAATGCAGATATATGGCTTTTACAAAAATTAAAAAAAAAAAAACCACAACTCTGGATCAGCTCAAAATTATGGCAGTTGTACTGTTATTATCTTATTCAAATAAAAATTTTATATACTTTGAAATTGATCTAAGAGAAAGAAACCTAAAAGTTCTTTAGTCTGGATGCAGAATACAACAAAACTGAATTCCCAATAAAGTCTAATTATTTTTCTCTTAAATTATTAAATATATATGCTAGCCATGAAAAATAGCAAGTACTTTTGTCATTTTAGACTTATTTTAATTTTAGTCCTATGGGTAGAGTCAATGCTCACTTTCAGTTCTATTTATTGGAGGTTCTCTATTCATCTCTTTCCGTTGCTGTTTGTTCTCTAACATCATCTTTCAGAAGGGCTTAGGGGGAAATGTATTCTTTGACTTTTTAGAAGTGCAAATTTTTCCCATATTTTTATATTTGAGGCTTATTTGGTTGGGGATTAAATCCTTGGGTTACTGTGAAATAGTAAGACATATATGTAACTGCCCCCAGCCCCTGGCCCAGAGCTCCTAAAATCCTTGCATTTTCCTGAGTGATAGGGGTGCTAGGAGAATCTTTTGTTCAATATTTGATCTTTGACTCTGGTTCCTGACAATGAGCTCCTAAATCCCTTGAAATTTACTGGGTAATAAGAGCATATTTTGTTCTAATGAGGTGACTTTTGCTGGGCTCCTAAAGGGGGCTGGTCACCAGGATGACCAAGCCATGATTGGAAGCTTGGAGCTTTCAGTCTCACCCCTCATTCTCTAGAGCAGACAGAGGGACTGAAAATGGAGTTAATAAACCTCCATAAAAGTCCTTAAACTATAAGGTTGGGAGAGCTTCTGGACTGGTGAATGCATCATGTGCTGGAAGGGTGGCACAACCACGTAAATGGGCACAGAAGCTCCTGTGTTCAGTCCTTCCAGAGCTTGCCTTGTGCCTCTCTTTATCTGTATTCTTTATTATATCCTTTATTGATAAACTGGTAAATGTAAGCAAAGTGTTTCCCTGAGTTCTGTGAGCAGTCCTAGCCAATTATTCAAACTGAGTTGAAGGTCATGAGAACCCTGATTTATAAATGGTAGGTCAGAAATATAGGTCACAGCCTGGAACTTGTGATTAGAATTTGAAGTAGGGGACAGTCTTCTGTGACTGAACCCCCTTAACCTGTGGGATCTGGGGCTACCTCCAGGCAGACAGTGTCAGAATTGAATTGAATTGAATTAGAAGACAACCTAGCTGGTGTCCACTGGAGAGTTGCTTGGTTTGTGGGGAAAATCCCACACACATCAGGTGTCAGAAGTGTTGTGTTGAGTGGTGAGTGAAAGTGGGAAAATAACTTTTCCCCCCGTATCTCAGAGTTATGTTTTCTTTCCTGAAGATTTTTCATGTATTTCCCATTTATGTATTCATGTTAAATGTTGCTGAGGAGAAATCCAAGTTGAACCTGATTTTTTTTCCCCTTACAGATGGCTTGTTCTTCTCTGCCTCAATGCCTAAAGGATTATTTATCTGAAGTCCTTTCATTTTACTTGGATATGTGTGGTTTTCAAACTTTGTGTGTTAAATTTTCCTACAACAGTGTGTTCTTTCACTCTTCAAATCTTTTCATCTTCTTTGATTTATTCTTTGTTTTTTGACTTACATATTTAAAAAAATCTTAATTTGTTTCTCATAATTAGAGATACCAAACACCTATGATAGAGCTCCTTTGTCTTTAGTATCAGTCATTTTCTCTCTTTTGTTTTTTAAAAGTTTTTTCACTTTTCTCATTTCTATCTCATGTGTCCCTTCCTTTGTTTCCAACAGTCTTACTTTCTTGAGTTCATTTCCATCTTTTTCTGGTATCTGACCAACTTTTCTAAACTCTTGTATATTTGCTTTGAATATCTATTTATTAATGCCATCAAGTCCTGGCAATGAATTTTTATCTTATAAATGTCTTCATTGCTTCTTTCTTTTTTATTATACTTTAAGTTTTAGGGTACATGGGCACAACGTGCAGGTTAGTTACATATGTATACATGTGCCATGTTGGTGTGCTGCACCCAGTAATTCGTCATTTAACATTAGGTATATCTCCAAATGCTCTCCCGCCCCCCTCCCCCAACCCCACAACAGGCCCCGGTGTATGATGTTCCGCTTCCTGTGTCCATGTGTTCTCATTGTTCAATTCCCATCTATGAGTGAGAACATGCGGTGTTTGGTTTTTTGTCCTTGTGATAGTTTGCTGAGAATGATGGCTTCCAGCTTCATCCATGTCCCTACAAAGGACATGAACTCATCATTTTTTATGGCTGCATAGTATTCCATGGTGTATATGTGCCACATTTTCTTAGTCCAGTCTATCATTGATGGACATTTGGGTTGGTTCCAAGACTTTGCTATTGTGAATAGTGCCGCAATAAACATATGTGTGCATGTGTCTTTATAGCACCATGATTTATAATCCTTTGGGTATATACCCAGTAATGGGATGGCTGGGTCAAATGGTATTTCTAGTTCTAGATCCCTGAGGAATTGCCACACTGACTTCCACAATGGTTGAACTAGTTTACAGTCCCACCAACAGTGTAAAAGTGTTCCTATTTCTCCACATCCTCTCCAGCACCTGTTGTTTCCTGACTTTTTAAATGATTGCCATTCTAACTGGTGTGAGGTGGTATCTCATTGTGGTTTTGATTTGCATTTCTCTGATGGCCAGTGATGATGAGCATTTTTTCATGTGCCTTTTGGCTGCATAAATATCTTCTTTTGAGAATTGTCTGTTCATATCCTTCACCTACTTTTTGATAGGGTTGTTTGTTTTTTTCTTGTAAATTTGTTTGAGTTCATTGTAGATTCTGGATATTAGCCCTTTGTCAGATAAGTAGATTGCAAAGATTTTCTCCCATTCTGTAGGTTGCCTGTTCACTCTGATGGTAGTTTCTTTTGCTGTGCAGAAGCTCTTTAGTTTAATTAGACCCCATTTGTCAATTTTTGCTTTTGTTGCCATTGCTTTTGGTGTTTTAGACATGAAGTCCTTGCCCATGCCTATGTCCTGAATGGTATTGCCTAGGTTTTCTTCTAGGGTTTTTATGGTTTTAGGTCTAACATTTAAGTCCTTAATCTATCTTGAATTAATTTTTGTATAAGGTGTAAGGAAAGGATCCAGTTTCAGCTTTCTACATATGGCTAGCCAGTTTTCCCAGCACCATTTATTAAATAGGGAATCCTTTCCCCATTGCTTGTTTTTCTCAGGTTTGTCAAAGATCAGATAGTTGTAGATATGCGGCATTATTTCTGAGGGCTCTGTTCTGTTCCATTGGTCTATATCTCTGTTTTGGTACCAGTACCATGCTGTTTTGGTTACTGTAGCCTTGTAGTATACTTTGAAGTCAGGTAGCATGATGACTCCAGCTTTGTTCTTTTGGCTTAGGATTGACTTGGCAATGTGGGCTCTTTTTTGGTTCCATATGAACTTTAAAGTAGTTTTTTCCAATTCTGTGAAGAAAGTCATTGGTAGCTTGATGGGGATGGCATTGAATCTATAAATTACCTTGGGCAGTATTGCCATTTTCATGATATTGATTCTTTCTTCATTGCTTCTTTAAGATTTTATTGATGTCGTGGAGGGTTTTGGTCACAATTTTCATGGACTTGGTGGCTACATTTATCTGGTAAGCTTTGTGTGTTACTTGTTCTCCCTGTTACTTTAGTATAATAATGCCGATAGCCAGAAGTCAAAAGAGATCATTTAAAGTGAACTTTTCAAGTAATGGATATACAATATACTTAAAGGTAAATACTTAGAAAAAGAATATAAATAACTAAAACCAAATAGTTGGGTAAAAGTAGTCAGAGAATGTAGAAATATACTCATTTTCTCATTGCTTATAGTATGGAGTTGATATATTTACTAAAAAAAATGATTAAGAATATTTAATAAAGTTTTAACCAAGTACAAACCCTCCAAATTATCAAAAGAAATAGAAAGCAAAGCAAAGGCAGGTTATTTATGAGTTTTTTAAGTTACAGAAACAGAGTGAAACTTAAGAACAGAACTAACAAATATATCAGATAAGAAAACTCACTCAAAAATAAAGAGAGAAAGAACTGATTGAACTCAGCAAAATGCTAAGATATAAAAGGAACAACTTTAAAAAGTGATTCAAAAAACTTGAAAGTGAAAAATAGTGGGCAAATATGTCAGCATATATAAACCGTTAGGAAAGAAGCAGTCATGATCTTAATATTCTGATCCAGCTGAATTCAAGGCCAAAAGTATTTAACCAAAACAAAGATATTTTATCAGAATAAAAAACGTGACACACAATGGATATCTAAAAGTAACAAATACCTATGCACCTAATAACCAATCATCAACATTTATGAAGCAAAAATACAAGGTACTACAAGAAGAAATATACAGAAATATATTAATGGTAGTAGTTTTTATTCATTTTTCCCAGGTTATGAACGCTCAAACAAAAATAAATAAGAATTTAGGGAAAAAATGCCTAATAAAATAGATATATATGTTATTTTTTAAAAACCACTTTTATACTCTGGAAAGAGATGATAAAGTTTTTTTCCAAATATCTATGGACCAATCATATTATTTAAAAAAAAAATCCTATAATAGCCCTCCCAAAAAATGCTAAATTCTGAAGGAAAAAATAAGTAAAAATAATATTTTCTGATATGAAAGACTGTAGACTAAAAAGACAACAGTGTGGTCCTGGCATATAAACAGAACAGAAAATGAAATAGAATACATCCAAAAATAGACCCAGTACGTATAAAAATTAACAAAGTGGCATTTCAGAAGTGTGGATGACAATGAATTACTTTATAAATACTGTTGGAACAAGCAGATAGCCATCTAGAAAATTAATAAAATTGGGTCTTGTGGCACAGACTATGAAATATCCCTCAATATTCATTCTCCGCTTCTTTTTTGGTCACAGAATTCCTGATCTTTAGCTGGATACATAGTTTCATTTCCCTGATTCCCTGACTGTTCACTTTGGCCTTGTGACTTAAGTACTAGCCAATAAGGATGAATATAGAATTGATATACCGCTTTCAGTAAGTGTTTTTAAAGGGAAAGGATATGGCTTTTTTCATCCTTTCCTCCTTCCTGCTGGCTGGAATCCGTAAGTCTTGGATGGCACTCCAACAGCCATCTTGGACCATAAAGTGACCTTGGAAATAGAAGTTTCTGATAGTGAAGTAATGAAATGGAAAGAGCAGAAATCCTTCATCACGAAATATCATACAAGCTCTGAATTTGCATGAGAGAGACACAGAAACTTCAGTCTTATCCATATCTCATTACTTTAATTATCATTCTTAGCTGAGCTTAACCAGTAGAGTTCCTTTTGTCCCAGTATCATATCTTACACCAAAAAAACTCCAGAAGTCTTAAATATTTAAATGTTAAAAACAAAACGAAAACTATAAATGTATGAAAACATGAGAGAATTATTTTTATAATTTTGAGGTAAGAAGGCCTTTCTCAATATAATACAAAACTAGACAACATAAAATGAAAGGTTGATAAATTCAACCACATAAAAACTCTACGGGAAAAAAAAAAACACCATCACAAGGTTAAAAGAAAGCAAAAAATTGGATAAAATATTTGCAACATATTTTGCATTACACTAGGGCTAAATGCCACTAGCTCTGTTGAAAAACCAGCAATGATTATGAACAGACAGTTTCTAGAAAAGAAATGTGGAGAAAAGACTTATGACCTCCAAAACTATAATTTAATAAGTTTGTGTTGTTTTAAGCCATTTAAAAAACAGGAAATGTGAATAAGTCTTAAATATATGAAAAGATGCTCAGTCTTACTCATAATAACAGAAATACAAATTAAAGTTACTAAGAGGTAGCTTTTTCTACCCATTAGATTGATAAGAATCAAAAACTTGGCAATACCTAAGAACCTGTTTTCTCAAAAGCTTGCCCAAAGAATATATTATCAGTGTAAATTGATACAACATACTGACAGCAATTTGACAATATATATGAAAAGCACAAGTGTACTTAGTTTTTGACCCAGGAATTCCAGTTCCAGATATTTATCCTACAATACATATGAATATTTGCCAAATTATGCATGCACAAGGATATACATCATTGCATTATTTGGAAAGATTGGAAAGGACTTAAATGTCCATCAACAGGAGCTGCTTAAATAAAATATAGTATATTTACACAATGGAATTCTATGTAACTGTTAAAAGGAGCTCTCTATATATACTAATTTGGAATAAAAAGATATATTGTTAAGTGAAGGAATGCAGAAAAATATGTGTATTATAATTCTTTTTGGGTTTGCAGAAGCAGAGAAATATATATATACACATACATACATATGCTTGCTTACGTAATGAATATCTTTCTAAACATATATAAGAAACTCATAACAAAGGTTGCCTACAGGGAGGAGAAGCTGGCCAGGAGAGAGGAAGTAAGGGAAATGTACTCTTAGTATTCATGTCTCTGTGCATATTTTTAATGCTGTAATATGTTTATATATTACCTATTCAAATTAATCATTTAATTAGATTTAAATACAATAGAATAAAAATGAATGGCTCACAAAATGAAAAAGATAAAAATTATAGTTTATAATCTCCAATTAAATGTGTCATCCTGGGCTAACATTAATGTTTGAAAAGATATGTAGGCTTTCAATTTCAGGTAACATTCCAGATAAAAAGTTGAAAGATTTCAATTAGATAGCTCTATAAAATGCATTGTTGCAACAACAAACCTAATGTTAAAATAATTTATTTATAATTGAAACTTAAAAAATAATAATTCAAACTTGAAAAAGGGACAATGTTTATTTCACTGTGTAAAAACAACAGTTACAGCAATCCCAAATAGCCTCAGTGTTCTGCCATTAAAAAAAAAAATTAGTATGGAAGGCCAAAGCAGGCAGATTGCTTGATCCTAGAAGTTTGAGACCAGCCTGAGCAACACAGTGAGACCCTGTCTCTACAAAAAAATACAAAAACTAGCCAGGTGTGGTGGCACGCACCTGTAGTCCCAGCTACTCAGGAGGCTGAGGTGGGAAAATGGCTTGATCCTGGGATGCGGAGGTTGCAGTGAGCTGAGATTACACCACTGCACTCCAGCCTGGGTGACAGAATGAGACCCTGTCTCAAAATGAAAAGAAAATAAAATTAGTAAATTCAATGAGAATAGTCTTTGTCTTGTTCCCTGTCATCCCCAGAGGCTGTGACAGAACCAGACACAGTATAAGGGCACAAAAGTATTCTGAGTAAATTAAATATGTAAATTGAATTATATCTAAAAGAAACAATGAAAAACATAATGCTATAATGTATCACTGAAATTCTTTGTAAATTGGGCTTTGTTTTAACAAATATTAATCCAAATTTCTGCTGTTCTGATTTTCACAACGTCTAGGGTCTCACTGACTTTTTACCTGGCACATTTACTGTACTGTTAGCTCTGGAGAACAGACTGCAAGGTTTACAATTTATGGGCAAATTTTCATATTATGGCACTTTCTCTCTCTTCACACACACGCACGTGCACACACACATGCTCACAAGCTTCTCACTTTTACTGTTGTCAGGCTGCTCACTTCTCATACCAGCTGCTCCTCCCGCCTGCTCCCTCCAAACATAATGTAAAGCCTCCATCTGATGCACAGAAGGGACACCAACAAAGATAAGAGTAAGTTTCTGAGGCTGGTTCTATTCTCCATTGAGGCAGAGGGTGTTGAAAGAGTTCAAAAACTAGGTAGCAGGAAGATAATGTGGTTTCAGTCTAGACACGAAAATAGAAACACTGGCACCAATCAAAGTAAAGGAAATTGTCCTTTTAGGAAAGGAATTTTCCTTCTAGATGACATTCAAAATCCCAAATCCCTTGCTAAGAATGAAGGGCATTTAGTGATAAAGATTTAGTCTCTTCTGAGAAAGTCATTGAATTCCTGATAAGAATTTCCATGTCTTGATTTCCAACTAGTGGTGGGGTTTAGTAAGGTCATTTTAGGTGTATTTCTCATCACATAAATTGATTAAAGAATTTGGGCACTCTGAGTTCCTGGAAGAATATCCTGAATGTAGATTTTTTTTTTTAGTAAAACTTTCAAAAGTGGTTCATAATAAATAGTTTCGTTAAGTCTTATAATTGGAGTATGGAATTGAATAACCAACCCATGTATTATTTTTAATTGTCTAATTAAGATGACCTCAGCTGGGCATGGTGGCTTACACCTGTAATCCCAGCATTTGGGGAGGCTGAAGGCAGACGATCATGTGAGGCCAAGTTTGAGGCCAGCCTGGGCAACATAGTGAGACTCTCTCTACAAAAAAATTTATTTTTTAATTAGCCAGGCAGGCTGGAGTGTGCCTGTAGTCCTACCTACTCTGGAGGCTGAGACAGGAGGATCACTTGAGAGCAAGATGAGGCTTCAGTGAGCCATGATTGTGCCACTGCACTCAAGCCTGGGTGACAAAGAGAAATCTTGTCTCCAATATAAATAAATAAATAAGAATAAAAAATTTAAGCTGAGCTTAATTAAAATTATGTTAAAATCTGGTTTTTATTTTTCTTTTTATGAAAGTATAGCTTATTTTTGTTCAATTAAATTTTTTTTAATTTTAATTGGAATGCATCTGCTATGGGAATCTAATCCAGTCAAGTCAGTGACAATGTCACAGGAGCCATTGCTAAGAAGGAAAGCAGCAGGAGTTGGGAGAAATCAGGTCACACAGCAAAAACCAGAGGCAAAAGCCGTGGTGGAGAATCAGGGTGACATGGAGCAAACGTAACAGTCATCTACAAAACAGAAGCCTAGGGCCCAGCCAAACCAAGATAATAATGTGAAAAGGATTAGATGAGATAAAGTGAGTATAAGCAGAGAGGTTTTTGTTCAAGTGCAGCACTGCTGAGGGGAGGAAAAGGAACTACCAATTGTACAGCCAAGCCTGACTCCTGGGAGTTCCATTTGCACCTTATCCAACACATATTAATCGATACTGTTTTCTGTACAAACACTAAGCTGAGTACTGGGGTAAAGAGAACAGTCTCTAACTTCATGGATCTTATATTATGGCAGGGAGCAGGGAGTGGGGAGCAGATCAAATAAATAAATAACCTGATTAGGAAGTAAGCAAATACCACTTTAAGATTATGATAGAGCTATGAAGGAAGCAGGCAGGATGCTGAGAGGCAGAACAGGGAGAGAGGACCTATTTTAGAAAGCACGGTCATGGAAGGCTGAGAAGGAGCCAGGCACAAAGAAAAGTGAAGGAAGAGCTTTTTATACAAAGGGCACAGCAAGTACAAAGATCCAGAGGCAAGAAAAACTCAACCTATTCAAAGAACCGCAAGAGAATCCATGTGGCTGCAAACTGGTTCTCCTGAGGTGGCCCCCAACACCCATCACAACTTATCCCACAGCTCACAACCCTCTTGAAATCATAGCTTTACTGTAGTGTCTAAATTATTCTTCCTCTTTCATTTCTCTTTAGAAATATTGTCTAAATCATACCCTCAAGCTAGTGATAAATAGAAAGAAATTTTCTTCACATTGTTTTTTGTTTTGTGTTCGTATAATGATACAGTTCAAATACAAAAAAAAAAACACTAGGAAATTGTTTAATCAATGAATATGCATTTGTATGTGTGTCTACAAAAGCCTGCCCACATGACTTAGAATCACCGACCCTTCCTTGTTCATGAGGTTACCATGGCACCCATCTTTTCAGAGCACACAGCTTATATCCACATCTAGCTGTGTTGGCCCCGCTAGGTCTCAGTGGGGAGAAGTCTCTTTAGAGAGCTACAGCTAGAGAGAGTCAGTAGGTGATCTAGATCTGATGAGAGAACAAAATATGCAAGATTAAATGAATCATGCAGTCTGAAGTCAATTTCCTGCCTTGTATTTGTTGGTGGTAATGTTAATACAGCATTTTAAAAATAAGTTTTTTATATATGAAAAAGGTTTGATTTTTGGTCCACAAGCTAGTAATACAAAAAAAGTCACATTTCTTTATTTCCTTTCTATAAACCTAAATAAAACTCAATCTCCATCCCAGCAGGTGGTGGGAAATTCAATTTTAATCATTATGGGGTTTTGTTTCTTCCTACTCACTGCCACCTCCAACTCAAGGTCATGCAAAGGTCTCCTTTTAGAGAGGTAAAAATGACATTATCTGAAGGCTCTAGAACCAGACCACCTAGATTTGCATCCTGGTCCTGCCACTTACTAGCGTGAGATGTTGGGTAACTTAATTAACCTCTTTGATGACTAGTGGAGATATGATAGTAACTACTTCATAGAGTTTTTAGACAATAGATGAGTTAATATATATAAGTGTCTTAGAATGATGTCTGGCACTTAGCTGTGCAGCATATATCTATCATCATCATTGTCATCATTTTCACATGATGTGAAATTATCTAAGATATTTCTCCAGCTGCTGGTTCACTCTGGTTATCAAAGAGGCCCAGTCTCCCAACCCAAAGGATTTTCTCATATTTCAAGGTCCTGCTGCTTCTGCCTGGAAGCTCCTAAGCCTCTGAGGTGTTGTCCCCACTCCAGGACAACAACTTGGAATGACCCACAGGCCCCCATCAATATTCCAACTATTTCCCAAGAATCTCTTTGCAAGCATCTCCTCCATTTTCCTCTCTTAGGACCACTGAAAGCTTCCCCTCCCTCTCAGAACACCCAGCAAAATGTCTTCAGTGAGCTTAGACTTCACAACAAAACTCAACTTCAGAAACTAATAGAAGCTCCAAGCAATTTTTGCTGCTGGAAAAAGGCTGGTTACCTGCTGTGTGGGGAGGAGTCAGGGGAATGGAATCGCACAGAGAGAATAAATACAAATCTTTATTTTCCTGTCACACTGATTCTGTCATACTTGCTTAGGCTGACACATGCTCCAAACGACTGTAAATATTGTACAACCAACAGCAGTTTCACAAGTGAAAACGAATCTGTCTTTGGTAATGGCTGATTGTTCCTGCCTGTTTCAGGTGGTGCTCCAGGATAGAAGAGCAAAAGGACTGTGACAGAAAGCACAGGAGCCCTACTAGGTTTCATTTTTAAAAGAAGGAGAGAGGCCGGGCATGGTGGCTCACGCCTATAATCCCAGCAATTTGGGAGGCCAAGGCGGGTGAATCACTTGAGGTCAGGAGTTCAAGACCAGCCCGGCCAACATGCTAAAACCCCATCTCTACCAAAAAATACAAAAATTAGCCAGTCGTGGTCCCAGCTATTTGGGAGACTGAGGCAAAAGAATTGCTTGAACCTGGGAGGCAGAGGTTGCAATAAGCCGAGATCATCACTGCCCTCCAACTTGGGCAACAGAGTGAGACCCCGTCTCAAAATAAAAACAAAAATAAATAAAAGAAAGAGAAAGAGAATTTGGGAAGCCCCAAATGAGTGGGCAGTGTGATTTGCAACCTCCACTTGAATTTGGGGGCCATTAGAGTTTGGAGATTCACCCACATTCAAAACAAATCCTGAAACAACTGCAGTATAAATGAGAAAAGCAAACTAGGACAGGACAGAGACACAGGGACGGGAGTACTTAGCAGGTACAGAGGAGCTGTGACAACGTGAGCTGAGGTTGGGGGACCAGTTAAGGGAGAGGAGAAATAAGTACTGGAGATTCAGGCAGGGAGCCAGAGAGGATGGTTGTCCTTGATGCATTTGGGCAGCAGAGGCAAGCAGAAAGTCCACTTATGGTGGGAGCAGAGCAAGCGAAAGCCCTGAGGGGGAAAGAAGGAGACACAAATCCCAAACAATGACTGGAACCTAGATGGCTCCACCTCGTTCTTTGACACTTTGCTCATCTTTTGTTGACACTCATACTAGAAGCTCACTTTGATTTTTTCCATATGATTATCTCTAGCTTTGTTTCTAACTGTGCTATCTGAGTTGCTTTCCAGGCCCACACTTCTTTCATCTGTTGGGGGAGACAAGGAAGGGAGAATTCTGAGAAGAAAACTTATTTATTCAGTAAGAGGACCACTGACCCTTTTCATGGCTTTTGATCACTTGAATTTGTCAGTCCTTCTCTGAGCCTGGACAGAATTCCAGCTGAGAAGGACATGGGGTTGAAAGAGAGGGGTCACCTGTCCTTTCTCCCCATCCTAGGTGTCTTTACTCCCGATGACCCATTTAAGGCTTGAGGGTGGTGGAGGGGAAAGTCCACGTCTCTGAATGCCTATGCACTAGTTGGGACAGAAGTGACAAGTTTTTCTTTCTAAATAGACGTTCTAAGATGTGACTTTCTACCTCCAGGGTGTCCTTGATGAAGTTCTCACTTTGCCTTGGCTCAAGAGTTCATGAACCCTGTCCTATACTCCTAACAGGAACTGCGTCACCTCCTTTTGGATGGAAAACAACCTCTTGCTCAACTAAAGTGGCTTTCTAAAGGCAGCCAATGCCTTTCTTTTAATTGGCCTTCAAAGTTTCTAAAATAAGTACCACAGGAAACTTTCTTGTTCCTTCCACAGCTATGTGGAGCAGGGTGCTCTGTGGTGTGTGCCCCTGACACCCTCCCCACAGGCAGTCATGTTTAACTGCAGCACACACCTATATATGGGGCTGAGGAAGTTAGCTCTGGGTCCAGTCTCACATAAAGGCAGGTAAAGACTCACAGATGGGAGCCCCACATATACTAGGAGACCCTGATGATTGAATGACAGAGGACCAAGCCTTGTCTATACTCCTTACAGCAACAGCTGGACCTCACTTTGAAACCTGAAAAGTCGTTCAGCTTTAGAACACATTGAGATAAAAGTGGACTTCAGTATCACTGTTTGCTCTTTCTTACCTTGGGAGGTTACTGCCTGAAGTCTCAGTTTCCTCATGTATAAAATTAGCATAATAATAAGACCTATCTCACAGAGCTGGTGTGAGGATTTAATGATATTATATGCATATAGCTTGCAATAAAATGCCTAGCACAGAGGAAGCACTCAACAAATACTCGTCACCTACCTTCACTTTTCTTTTTCTTTTTTTTTTTTTTTTTTTTTTTTTTTTTTTTTAGTGCAGTGGTGCCATCTTGGCTCACTGCAACCTCCGCTTCCCAGGTTCAAGCAATTCTCCCACCTCAGCTTCCTGAGTAGCTGGGACTACAGGCACCTGCCCCCACACCCAGCTGATTTTTGTATTTTTTGTATGCTGGCCAGGCTGGTCTCAAACTCCTGACCTCAAGTGATCCTCCCACCTTGGGCTCCCAAAATGCTGAGATTACAGGAGTGAGCCACCATGTGTGGCCTCACTTTTCCTTTTCTATAAAAAGACCACCATTGTCTATTCTTCCTGACTTAAAAGTTTCATTATAAAAATCACTTTTTTGAGTTTAAGCAAAGGTATAGTCTCAAGAAGACAATAGTTAAATGCCCTTGAATTATTGGGGATGTAAAGGGGGTCGAGGGTTTAACCTTTTTTCAAGAACACATTAGCCTGGATTTGGTTTTATTAAACAAATAATATGTCTACTATTTATCTCATTAACCAATTTCAAGGAAGTAGCAAGAGTGGCATAGGGAGAATGGAGCTTCAGATCTGTACCCTTATATTTTTTTGTGAAGGTGAGGAAAAATCATGAAATGTCTAGAGCTTAGCAGTTACACAGGGAGAACAAGCCTGAGACAGAAATGAGGGAAGGGGTCCTGTGGCCTCTTGCCAAGGGACAAGTATCAAGTCACAAGGAGGAGAGAATAAAGACATGGTTTTCTGAATTTCTATTCTCCCTAGAATCAGCCCTGCATTAGAAAATAAAATAAAATAATGCAGATTATTAATTGTATCAGCAGGTAGGTATTTTAATCCACTCTGCTCAAACATGTCAATAAGAACTTGCAAGCAATACTTCTTGTCTTCTTAAAGTTAACTATATTCTCTTTCAATGACAGGGTTTCTCTAAGACTAAAGAATTCAATTCAACCAGCATCTATCATGCCCCTATTATGTGTCTTCACCCTACAAGTCTCTGAAGTGACAGGGAATAAATCTTGTCTCCACTAAAAGCCAACTCTGAAAGGCCCACTCTGAAAGACAAAACAGGGATTCAGGAGTAGCATGCTAGTCATACAACGTTAGTAATATTAACACAGAATTTATTGTTTCTGTTCCACTTATAGTTGGATTGAGACTATCATAGTGATCAGAGGAAAAATAAGTTCTAGTGATTAACACAGAGGGGGGTGTGTGTGTGTGTGTGTGTTTTACATATTCTTTATTTTCTTACTCTGTTCAAGGCCAAGAGCATTCTCCAAGTAACTGATATCTTCAACAGAAGGTGGTTGATGAGGTAATTGTGCTCTAAAGCCTATAATGCTCTTCAAAAGAAAGATCAATGCTGGGATAATTCCAGCCCAGCCGACAGAAGGGCTATGGAAGACACTGAAGTTTAGGGTGCACAGAGAACTGAAGACAAGCATGAACCACATGAAAGGCTTTAAGAACATGTAACTGATGATCCATGTGATAACAAATGCAGAGGGAAACCTGGGGTATTGTTGATCATGAGGGTCTTGGAAATAGAACAGGGGAGGGAGGACATTCCTGATAAGGGCAGCAACATAACAGAATGCCCATATTTGGAAATAATCATAGGTATTTGGAGACACATATTCAAGAAAAAAAGTGTGCAGAAACTAAATCACTCCACCAGTCAACCTCAAAACCTTCACATTGATCTCTGGTATACTTCTTTGCCATTTAACTCTACTTAGTATGGTTTATTCTTTTTTTATATGGTTGAATCTATATAAATTGAACGGTGTGTCAGTGCTTGTCTTACACTCTTTTGTGTATACTTCTCAATATAGTGGCTTGCAGATACCCATATGGTTGGATTCATAGTTGATGCCCAGGCATTGGAAACTGGATCATCAGCTGCTCACTCGTAGCGCTTTGCTAGTTTCACTCCATCTGTTCTATGTTCTCACCTGACTGTTGATCTGAAAGCTGCACTACTAAGCTTTAAATCATAGGTTTTCAGCCTTTGCTGCATTGGCATCTCCTGAAATCCTGGAGCCTGTTACCCACCCCCAGATATTTTGATAACTGGGTAGGGCATGACTTGGGCATCAGGATTTCTAAAAGCTCCTAAAGTGATTCCAATGTGCTTTAGAAGCAGAAATGAAACAAGAACAGGAAGGCCAATGGGGAAAAGATGAGTCCAGAAAGTTGTCTTAGCTATTTTAAAGTCATTTATCACAGTGTTATTGGTCATATTAAAATGGCAACATTTAAGTAAGCATATGAATAGAAATGTCTTTGCTTGAAGAACTAAGAGAAAATTATTATGTAATTTTAGGTCATTACTATTATCGGGTATTATTAATAAGTACAACTAATTGTAACCTTTGGATTAGATGAAACACATAAGATACAATTATTATAATTAAACTATTTGAATATAGAGTACATTGTGTTAATAGCTTGAGCAATTTTAATGAAGTATATATGGAAATTTCAAAGCATGAACTCTGTATACATGTCACAAATATTTCAGGAAAGATGTCCCTTATCATACCAACTAAGGCAAAATATCTATATATTGTGCTCCACACTGAATAACTTGTCTTACATTCCTAATAACCATAATAACAATAGTTATCACTTATGGAAGCATGGTAGTAAGCACTTTGGGGTTATTAATGTCAGCTTCATGACAATCCTTAATGCAGGCATTGTTTTCTCCTTTTGATGAGGGAATTAATATGATGAAGCCAATACGGTCAGGGTGGTAAATTTGAACCAATGACTGTGGGACTCTAAAACGTATGTTCTTGTGTACCACACTAAATTTTGAACATAACAAGCAAGCAAATTTGAACCAGTTCAAATTTTTGTATTTTAGTGTTTATTAACAAAACTACTCCCAATCTTAGAACATAATTTCAATTACAACCTAACCTTTTCATCTGGTTGTACATAACCCCCTGCACTTTTCTTACACTCTGTTCAAACTATATCAATCTTTCTTTCCTGGATAATTCAATGATATTTTTCTCTCCCATTGCCTTAGTCCATGCAATTACTCTGCCTAAAATGCCCTTCCAAGTCTTGTGCATCTTATCATTTTCCTCATCCTTTCATATCCATCTCAGATGTTACCCCTTCTATACGTCTTCCTTGATCCTTTGGTTTCAATCTGTCCCTCCTTGAAATTTTCCTAGAACTATCTTGTTTTTAGCACCTGTATTGTACCTACTTGCATTACAATTATTTCTTTACTTATCTTATTCTCTCTAAATTATGAACACTTGACCATAGAAACTCTTACTTTTTGTCTTCATATTTCCCTCAGGGCCAAAAGAAGAGGTTCTCAACATGTGGAGCAGCATCACCTAGCAACTTATTAGAAATGCAAAATCTCACACCACACTCCAGATCTACTGAATCAAAAACTGCAGGGCAGGGCTCAGCAGTCGTGGTTTGTTTTTGCTTTTTGGTTTTTTTTTTAAACTTTTTGTTTTGAAATAATTAAGGATTCACAGGAAAGTGCAAAGAAATGGACAGAGAGATTCCATTTGCCCTTCATCCAGCTTCCCCTCCATGTTAACATCCTGAATGAGTATATAAAGCAATTTCAAAACCAAGAAATTTATATTGGTACAATCCATAGAACTTATTCAGAGATATCACCATTTGTGTGTGTGTGTGTGTGTCACATGAGCAAATTTATCACAAGTGTAGATTTATGTAACCACCACCACAACCAACATATTTAACTAGGCCACACACAGTGGCTCACACCTATAATCCCAGCATTTTGGGAGGCCAAGGTGGGAGGATCACTTGAGCCCAGGAGTTTGAGACCAGCCTGGGCAACATGCAAAACCTTGTCTCAACAAAAAAATACAAAAATTAGCCAGGTGTGGTGGCACACACCTGTGGTCCCAGCTACTCGGGAGGCCAAGGTGAGAAGATTCCTTGAGCTGGGAGGTCAAAGCTGAAGTGAGCTGTGATCACACCACTGTACTCCAGCCTGGGCAACAGAGCCAGACTCTGTCTCAAATATGTGTGTATATATATATGTGTGTGTGTGTGTGTGTGTGTGTGTGTGTGTGTGTTTGTGTGTGTGTGTGTGTATATATATATATACGTACGTATATTTAACCATACCATCACAAGATCCCCTGCGGCACCCCTTTATAGCTATACCCATCCTGAACTCCTGGAAATTACTAATATGTTCCCTATATTATTTCATGAGTGAAATCATGCAGTATGTATACTTTTTCATGTAGTGTATGTGCTTTTTTTCACTTAGCATAAATTCCTTGAGGTTCATTCAAGTTGTGTGTACCAACAGTCCATTCATTTCTACTTTTAATAGTAGTCTGTGGTGCTATGGTCTGAGTGTTTGTGTCCTCCCATAATTTCATATCTTGAAACCTAATTCCCAATGCCACAGTATTAAGAGATAGGACCTATGAGAATAATGAATTAGGTCATGAAGTTCCAACCTCATGAATGTGATTAGTGTCCTTATAAAGGCTTCTGGAGGGAGTTAGTTCACCCTTCCTACCTACCATCTGAGGATGCAGGTAGAAGGTATCATATGAAGCAGAGAGCAAGCCCTGACCAGACACTGAATCTGCCGGCAACTTGATCTTGGGTTTCCCAGCCTCCAGAGCTATGAGCAACACATTTCTGTTGTTTACAAATTACACAGTCTACAGTATTTTGTTACAGCAGATCAAACTAAGACACATGATATGGACATACAGCAGGTCATTTGACCATTCATCTATTGAAGGATAGTTTAGGTTGTTTCTAATTTGGAGCTCTTAAGAACAAAGCTGCTAAAAACATTCATAGAAAAGTTTGTGTACAAATAGGTTTTTATTTCTCTGGGGTATATTCCTGAGAATGTAATTCCTGAATCATTAAAAAGGGGTATGTCCATTTTTAACTGTAAAAGAAACTACCAAACTATTTTCCAGGGTGGCTGTACCATTTTACATTCTGACCAGCAATACATGAGTGATCTAGTTTCTCCACATTCACATCAGCCAGTGGCATTTATCACTACTTTTTACTTTTAGCTTTTAGCTGTTCTGATAGGAGTGGAATGATATCTCATTGCAGTTTTAATTTGAATTTCTCTAATGCCTAATGATATTGAGCATCTTCTCATCTGTTTAGTTGCCATTTGTATATCCTCTTCTGTGAAACGTCTGTGTATGTTATTAGCCCATTTTCTGGTTGGATTGTTTGCTTTTTTTACTGTTGAACTTTAAAGCTTTATTTATATATTCTACATACAAGACCTTTGTTAACTATGTGCCTTGAAAATATTTCCTCCCCATCCGTAATTTATGTTTGATCCTTTTAACAGGGTCTTAAGCAGAACAAAAGTTTTTTAATTTTGATGAAGTTCAGTTTACCAGTTTTCCCATATTTATGTATTGTGCTTTTGATGTCAAGACAAAACAAGGGAGGAGTAATTCCTCCTACTTTATTATCCTTTTTCAAAATTATGTTTATTCTACAACCTTTCTCTTTCTAAATAGAATAAGCTTTTCTATGTCTACAAAAAAAAACCTTGCTGAGATTTTATAGGAATTGCATTAAGTCTAACAATCAACTTAGAAAGAATTCACACCTTTCCTATGCTGAGTCTTCTAATCCGTGAACACGTTTCTCTCCAAATATTTAGGACTTCTGTGATGTTTTTCAGAAGCATTTTATAATAATCATCAAACCAATCCTGTACATGTTTTGTTAGATTTAACCTAAGTATTTCATTTTCTTTGGAGCAACTATAAATGGCATTTTTAATTTTGGTTTCCACTTATTTATTGTCAGTACTCAGAAAAACAATTATTTTTTCTATGCTGTTCTGGTATTCTGTGACCTTATTGAATTCAATTAATTCTAGGAGTTTTGTTTATTTTTGTAGATTACTTGGGATTTTCTATGTAGACAATCAAGTCATCTGAAAATAGAGACAGTTTTATTTCTCCATTTCTAATCTATATGCATTTTCTTTCTTTGTCTTGGCTTATTTCACTGACTAGAACTTCAGGCATGACGTTTAATAGAACAGTGGTGAGAGCAGACATCCTTAACTTAGTGGCAAAAGTATGATGTTAACTGAAGTTTTGTGTTCATGCTCTTTATGAGTTTGAAGAAGTACTGCATTCCTAGTGTACTGAGTTTTCTCATAAATAACAGCTGAATTTTGCCAAATACCTTTTCTGATATGATTATGTGATTTTTATTGTTTAGTCTGTTGATATGGTGTATTACATTGATTGAGTTTCAGATATTAAACCAATCTTGTAACCTGGAATACATTCCACTTGGATGTGGTGTGTTATTATTCTTATACATTGTTGGGTTTGATTTGCTAAGATTTTCTTGGGGAATTTTAGATCGAAGTTCACAAAAGATATTGGTTTGTTGTTTTCTTTTAGGGGTACTTGTCTAGTTTTAGCATCAGGGTAATATTGGCCCCATAAAATGAACTGAAACATGCTCCCTTAATTTTCTAGAAGAGATTATGTAAAATTTATATTAATTTTTTAAATATTTGGTAAAAATCCTACAAAAAAAGGGCCTGGATATTTCTCTTTAAAGAATTGCTAAATGACAAATTCAATTTATTTAGTTATTAAAGTGTTCTTCATGTTATCTACTTCATCGTGGCTTAATTTTAGTAGATTGTGGTTTTTGAGATATTAGTCCATTTTTTCTAAGCTGTTTGAATTTATTAGTTTAAAGTTGTTCCTAGTAAGCCTGGACTGTCCTTTTAATGGCTGCAGGATATATAATGGGATCTCTTGTCAACACAGATATTGGTGATTTTTTTCTTCTTAATTTTTTTTTTTTGAGTCACAGTCTTGCTCTGTCACCCACACCATAATGAAGTTGTACAATCTCAGTTCACTGCAGACTCAACCTCCCGGACCTAAGCGATCCCCCACCTCAGCCTCCCAAGTAGCTAGGACTACAAGTGCATGCCTCCATGCTTGGCTATTTTTTTAAATTTTTTGTAGAGACAGGGCCTCACTATATTGCCCAGACTGGTCTTGAACGCCTAGGCTGAAGTAATCCTCCTGCCTTGACGTCCAAAGTACTAGAATTACAGGCATGAGTCACCATGCCTGGCCTTCTTCTCTATTTTTATCTTTGTCAGTCTTACTAGAGGTTTATCCATTTCATTGATTTAAAAAAAAGAGGGATTTGTTTCATTAATTTTTTCTAATGTTTTCCTATTTTAAATTCCACTGATTTCTGCTATCTTGATATCTGCTGCCCACCTTTCTGCTTGCTTTGGGTTTATTTTTACTCATTTTTCTAATTTCTTGAGGTAGAAACTTAGGATGATGGTTAATTTTGTGTGTAAACTTGATGGGGTCACAAGGTGCCCAGAGGTTTGGTTAAACATTATTTCTAGGTGTGTCTGTGAGGATTTCTCTGGAGGTTAGCATTTAAATCTGCAGGCTCTAAAGCAGAAGTAAAATAAAGAAGTTTGCCCTTCCCAGTGTGGGTGGGCCTCATCTAATCCACTGAGGACTGAAAAGCACAAAAAGATAGAAGAGAGAATTCTCTCCGCATGACTGCTTGAGCTGAAACATCAGTCTTCTGCCCTTGGACTAAGGCTTACACCATTGGTACTCCTGGTTCTCAGGCCTTCGGACTTGAGCTAGAATTGACACCGATTCTCTGGTTTCTCTGGGCTCTCAGGCCTTCAGACTCAGACTAGAACTGGCTTTCCTGGGTCCTCAGCTTGCAAATGGCAGAATATGGGACTGCTCAGCCTCAATAATTACATCAGAGACAATTATTCACAATAAATCTCTTTCTAGATACACAGATATCTAGATAACTATATATATCCAGAGAGAGATCAATAGATAGATCTCCTATTGGTTCCATTTCTCTGGAGAACCCTAATACACTTAGATTATTGATTTGAGATCATTCTTCTCTAATGGAAGCAGTGAGCCCTCTCATCCCAGCTTTATCTGCATTTTGCAAATTTTGATAAGTGTTTTAATTTTTATTCAGTTTTATGTATTTTTAAATTTCCTTTGAGATTTTAGCTTTGACTCGGATTATTTAGAGGTAAGTTGTTTAATTCCTAAGTGCTTAGAGATTTTCCAGTTGTCTTTCATGCAGTAATTTCTAGCTTCATTTCATTATAGTCAGAAAGCACATTCTTTGTGATTTTAATTCTTTAAATTGCTTAATGTTTGTTTTATGACCCAGGACATAGTCTATCTCTGTGAATGTTCTATGGTGCTTGAAAAGAATGTGCATTCTGTTTATGTCAGTTGAAATGTTCTATAAACGGCCATTAGATCCTCTTGTTTGATGGTGTTGTTCGGTTGCATATCCTTGCTAATATCCTTTCTAGTAGTTCTATCAGTTCCTGAGAATGGGGTGCTGTTGGTCCCAATCAAATACAATAAGAGTTTTAACAAGCTCTCCAGGTGATTCTAATGTGCACTAAAGTTTGAGAGCCACTGGCCTAGAGTAGAATAATTCAATTAAGTTTGTTGAGTTGGATAAAACTTCACTTTCTTATAAACTGTAAATTAGAATGGTTTATTTTATAACTTGATACTGTTTTTAGGCAGTACAAAAAATTATTCTGAGTTAGGAAGGTAGGAAGACAAGGGAAGTTCTCATCCTGTGTTCCCATATGTAACTAAAATAATTATTATTTTAATTATTTGCCCCACAACTCCTCCCATAGATACAGGTGTATCTCAAGCAGCAATGCGTATGCATATAAGGGAGCAATGCATATAAAACTCCAAAAAGCTTCAGAGTTTTAACTAAACCCAAGTTGTACATTTAAAGCCAATATTAAACTTAAATGAAGAGCCACATAATACCTTAGCCTACCATTTCTGAGACTGGTCAGTTTATTTATGTGTGCATTTGATTAATGCACATTTATTTTCTCCTCTCATGATCCAAGAACTGTACCAGGTGCTAGACATAGATTACAGAATAAGACATGGAGCTCACTATGTATGCAAATATTTAGTGTCATTGTAGCAAGCATTATCAAAAAGATGTACAGAGTGCTAAGATAGCACAGCAGAAGGCCTAGCCTGGTCCACGAGGATCAGGGAAGGTTTTCCTGATTAATTATCAGGTGATCTGAGGTTTCAAGAATGAGTCAAACTTGGCTTAATGAAGAGGAAGAAAATGAGATTAAAAATCAAGCAAACCACATTTGCCAAGAGCTAAAAGAAACAGCTTGACCTCATACACTGGGAGGGGCAGTAAAGCTGCACCATCAAGAATGTCCAGGGTGATGGTGGAAACTAAAGGAAGTACCCGTCTACCTGAAGTGTTCTATATGAAGATGACGGCTTCCAGCCAGCTCAAGCGCATTTCACCAAGTCAGTGAGACTGAGCACCTGTAAAATCACAATAGGCTCCACTTACCTAACCCAACTATCTTCTGGGAACAATACCAGGATCCTTCCGAACATTCACTTCTGTAATTTCTTGGGTCTACATCAACACAGTTTGGCCTCTACTGGAACGAAAGCCACGAAGGGGCGTATTTACAAAGTAAATGGGAAAACAATCTGCATTTGGATTTCCAATTCTGCATTTGGAAACCTTTTTCCATTAACCCCTGGGCATTGGAGGAGGATAAGAAAGTAACCCAGAGACAGGAAAGAAAATTAACATTTTTCAAGTGCTTACTATCTGCCAGGCACTAGACTGAGAGTTTTACATATGCTATCTGTGTTTATCTTTTCTAATCTTCACAGGACCCCAGGAAATGGGCATTATTTTTCTCATTTTAAAATATGGGAACAAAATACAGAAAAGTGAAGTAACTTTCTCAAGGGAGGAAGTAAATGGCCAAGTCCAGAGCTGAGCCCCGGGTCTGTATGGAAACAAGCTGGGCAGATCTCCACTTGGGGCTGCTTCCCTGGGAGCTGTGTTCCATCCCAAGGACACAAGTCCCCCTTTCTCTTCCACCCCCATTGTTGTTTCTTTTCCTTCTGCCCTCCTAGTCTGCCCCGCAGATTTACTCCAACTCTCCCCCGATATCGGCCCCTCTCTGATTCTCCCTCTTACATGTACCAAAACTTCTTCTGCAATACTCAATCACCAAAGCAGGATGTTCTCCCCAAGAACCTGAACATCTATCTTATAAGTTTAATGTTGAGAATGTATAGTGCCAGCCATACCGTGCTAAGAAAGTTCAAAACCACTATTTCCCTACTTCCTTTATTACAGTGTTACAGGCAGAATCTTTGGACTCAACAGCCTAAAGGAAACATTTTTAGCTCTACCACTGATATATTACTCTGTTTCAAGATCTTATTGCTATTGTATTCATATGATTTTATTTGGATTCTAATATGACTTTGGGGGAATGTCGGACCTGTAAAACATATTTATGCAGCTGCAGTAAAAGAATTGAGATGGCTGTGAAGGGAACAAGAGAGAACAAAACACTGGAAGATGCCAGGAGTTACCGTGGATACACTATTTCTGTTATCTGGTATGGACTCACACAGGAACAATTTCCTAAAGTATACAGATAAAGATTGAAAAGCCAAAATATAATTTCAGTTGAGAAGAAGATTGTGTTAGTGTTTTTTTTTTCTATTCTAGACAAAGGACATATAAGCTCCAGAAAGTAATATTTTCCAAATTCTAGTGTATACATTTATAGTAACTTTAGATTTTAATCAGTTGTAAAAAACACAATCACAATTTATCTAGGCTGCAATGGGAACTATCAAGTAGAATAAGTATGAAAACATGTGAATACAGTTTTTAAGATGAGGTGATTTCATTTGATGGAAATAAAATGTTGAGAATCTATGAAGCTCATATACTTTTTTTTCTCATCTCTGGAACCAAAGAAAGCATTAGCTTAAAATGGCCTGATTATGAATGTTATTTCAAACAAAATTTCTTTATTTTTTTTCTCCAGGTGAACAAATATTGTACAAATATTGGCACTAGGTTAGCATCACTGTCCAGGCAAGCAGAGAGTCCTGGAGAGTCTAAACAATAAAGAATAGAAAGCCAGCCTCACTTACTGTAGTAGCTACCTGGCAATACTGGCAGAGTCTTACACTGTCGAGAAGCAGAGTGAAGTATTTGGTTTTCTATGCGGCATTTCGTTTTGAACTCTCTACGTTGTACTTAAGACCACAGATTTACGTCCTTAGAGGAAAAAAAGCTGCCAACAGGAATTATTAGCCTGACTCTAGCTGCCTTGATTCAGATGCTCATTTAGTGCTGATGGACAGACTAGCAGATATTCTCTGGCTTAGGAAAGCTGCTTGGGAAAAGGTTGGTAGCGCTCTTAGAAAAAAAACTCTAACATTTTACCTTTCTCTGGGATCACCAACTTCAGGCAGACATTTAAGTGGACTCAGACTAATAAATTGACTGAATTACTATCCTAGCCTCCTGAAGTGTTCATGTTAGTATGTGCATGTGTGCACCTGTGTCTGTATTGATATTTAGGTGGGGGAGAAATCTTGTCACCCTTGATCAAATAGCAGACATGCTAGGAAGCCAGATCCTTGGCCATACCTATAAACCATGTCTATACTCACCTCCCCACACAAACACCTTTCAGATGTATTTATCTTATAAAGGAACACACCAACAACCACACACACATCCAATAAACATGTATCACATACAGCCAATGTGATTCTGCAAATATGTATGGGCCACTTTTATGTTATGAGCATGCATGTCCTAGATATCAGCACTGGAGATATGACAATGATAGGGCACAAGCTGTAACTTCAGGAGCTCCCAATGAATCTAGATCTTAAAATATTTCAGCAGTTGAGGAATAGAGAAGAAAACAAGGAAGATACTTCAGGTGAAGTAAAACACATGACTCCAGGAGACAAAACTGCCTACTATTACTCCAGGTAATAGTAAAGCTCATAGGAGTCAAGTTGGTCTTAATTTGTCCATGAGAAACTAGGAGCCATTGAAAGGTTTTTGTGGCTTTTGTTGGGGTGAAAGAATGATAGTACCCGAGTCATATTTTAGAGATAGGACTCTGGCAGCACTGTGGAAGAATTGGTGTGGAGAGGGAAATGGAAAGCAGAGGGACAATTTAGAAGACGATTTTCACAGTGAAAACAATACAACAGGGAAGCAAAGGTAGAAATTGGGTAATTTTTAAGAAATAGAATTTACAAAACTGACTAAAAGAGAGAGAAAACCTAAAGAGAAATTAAAATAGAAAAAGAAAAAGTTGTCAAAGAACTCACTACCTCATCACCCACCCCGCCCTCTATGCACACACACAACCATCTATAAAAGGACCTTGTCCAGATAGTTTTATAGGGGAAAAAATCTACCAAACTTTTAAAGACAAGTAATTCCAATGTTACTTGAGTGATTTCATAGTATAGAAAGAGGCATGTATAAATGAAACTCCACATTAACACCTAAACCTGAGAGAGCACATCAAAAAATACAAAACCATAGGTGAACATCTCAAGAATGTCAATGCAAAATGCCTAATAAAACTATCAACACGTGGCCGGGCACAGTGGCTCACACCTATAATCCCAGCACTTTGGGAGGCCGAGGCGGGCGGATCACGAGGTCAGGAGATCGAGACCATCCTGGCTAACACGGTGAAACCCCGTCTCTACTAAAAATAAAAAAAATAATAATAATTAGCCGGGCATGGTGGCGGGCACCTGTAGTCCCAGCTACTTGGGAGGCTGAGGCAGGAGAATGGCGTGAACCTGGGAGGCGGAGCTTGCAGTGAGCTGAGATCGCACCACTGCACTCTGGCCTAGTGACAGAGTGAGACTCTGTCTCAAAAAAAAAAGTGTTAGAAAATTATCAAGGAACATTGCTATAGTTTGAGTGTGTCCCCCAAAGTTCATATGTTGAAAACTTAATTTCCAGTGCAACCATGTTGAGAGGTGGGACTTTTAAGAGGTGATTAGGTCCTCAAGAGCTCTGCCTTCATGAATGTATTAATATTAACACAATTATCAAGGAAATGTGTTTCTTATAAAAGCATCAATTTAGCCCCTTTCCTTCTCCTCTCAATTCCCCATCCCCCACCTCATTCTCTTGCCCTGCCACCTTCTGTCATAGGATGACACAGCAAGAAGGCCCTTGCTAGATGTGGCCCCTTGATCCTCCAGAAAAACTGTAAGCCACATAAATTTCTATTCATTATAAGTGATCCTGTTTTTGGTATTCTGTTATAGCAGCACAAAATGGACTAAGACAAACTTCTCCAAATATGCTGCAAAGGTATTTGATAAAAGCCAACATTTATTTCTGTTCATATCTTTCGTCTATTTTTCTATTGGGTTATTGGTCATTTTTTATTAATTTGTAAAGTTCATATGGAAAAAAATATTAATTTGTAAGAGTCCTTTATGTATAGTCTATATATAATTCCTCTGTGGCAAATATCTTCTCCTAGTTTGTAGTCTGTCTTTTAATTCTCCTTATGATTTATTCTGAAAAACAAGCAGTCTTAAATTTTCATCTAGTCAAATATATCAATATTTCACATGTTGTTTCTTCTTGTTTGATCTAAGCATCACTCTCAAAAATTTCTTTTTAAAAGTGTTCATGAATTTTAAGATCTCCTCTTATTAAAACAGCTTTTAATAAAATAAAAACATGTTTGTATGAGATGCCCAGTGGCACCATATGGTTTATTTTGGTAGGCAGCATCCTTGCAGATAAAAGAAAATCTATGTTTAGTTGAGTTTAATTGAGTTATATTATAGAATAGACTTCCCTGGAGTAAATTATGAAATACCCACTAGAAATGTAAAAAAGATCAGTGAATGTTAAGAGTATAGCTAGATATGTAGAGTGTATGAAATTATGACAAGGATACACTCATGTTCCAGGAGCAAGAAGTGAACCTGGGTCTCCTTTAGGACAGAAGATGAAGATCAGCCCAGACTAACTTTGCACAGGTCTTAGCCAAGATCATCAGTGTGATGTCTAATCTACCTGCACTAGACAGATAATAAAGTCACCAGACATTACTCTGGTCAACTAACCAGATAAAGAGTTGTTGAAGGACCCCAACTACGCCTCCTGCCACAGGACAGCCAGCAAGTTCTATGCCGAGCCTTAGCTTACCACGTTATGAGCTTACCAGGTTATGAGCAGGTTATGAGCAGGCTCCTTTCTCAAGAGCCAGGATGAAGAGGCACTGCCCTGCCCCAAATCAGGCTTGTATGTGCCAATACGCAGTTGCTCCTTCTTTAACGATTCTTTTCTTCTGAAAATCTTCTAGTGTATTCATTATTTTTGAAAGCAGCTTTTAAATCTGAGAAGAACATTACCATACATTAGTTCTCCATTTCTGCATTAACTTCATTTGTTGGAAAGAAATTATATATTTTGCCCACGAACCAAAGCCAGCCATTAAGTTATATGAATTTACCTTCTTTGCACACATTGAGGTCTGGCAGAGAAGACACATGTTCCCTGGCCTGGAGTGGGCTGACAATATTGCTGCCTTCCCTAAATTGACTCAATCCTGAGACCTTAGGAGCCAGTAAATCCCACATACTGCAGTGACAGTTGAAAATGAATCAGAAATATTCCTTTCTCTCCTAAAGGAAATCCATCATGGCATTATCATTCTTTAAGGACAATAAGATGTCCTTTCCCTCAAAACTTAAAGCCCTTGATGAAAGATTCAGCTCAGATTTGCTGCCAACCCATTGGTGAGCACAGAATGAATGGCTGTGCTTTGGCATGGCTTCTATATCATAGCAAATCACTTCTCAGAGGGGAAAAGCCAAGCTCCAGACAAGGAGTGCCATTAGCCCAAGGGCAAGAGCAGTAGACACACAGGCTGTAAGCACAGGACTGTACACAGAGCCCTTATTGGCATCTCCACGGGGAGGCCCAGCAATCCGATGTTAGAAGCGAGGACTCATGGCTCTGAGTGCCGTGCATACAGGAGATACTCTATAATACTAAATCAAAGCACATAAGCAAGTGCTGGGTAAATCATACCTAATGGAATAAAGAGTAACATTCGGTTATTATTCTGGCTATTTTTTAAACGTTACTTCATACTTCAGAAGTATGCATGTATGAAATTGTATCTTATTTCTGTTTTTTAGAGCTTAAGAAAGATACTGGCTCTTAATTCCTGTTATCTGAACGCCAAATGAATTTTTGAAATAAATGTTTTACCAGCAAAAAAAAAGAATATATATTTCTTATCATAATATAATACATACATCCCAGTTCCAAAGCTAGCATCATACTTAGTGAGGAAGCACAAGGAGTATCTCATTAAAGCCAAAAACAATACAAGGTGAATGTGAGAGAGATGTCTAGAAAAAAATATATAAGGATGTCCATTACCACCACCACTATTCAACATTTTCCTGCATATATTATCCGAGACAACTAGAGAAAAGAAAGACATAAAGTATATAAATTAGGAAGAAAAGTGCTGAAGTATTTGCATATGGTTGTATCATATACCTGAAAAACCAAAAGAATCAACTAAAAAGTTATTATAAACAACAACAAAATTCAGTAGAGTGAACAAATAAAATATCCAGAAATCAATAGCTCCTGTTTAGAAGAACAACAACCAGTTAGAAAGTCTGGCTATTTTTACAATAGAAATACATTACAATAGAAATACACATTCACATGTGCAAAATCCACATGATTAAGTGTTTTAAATCATGTAAGACCTAAAAAATATTTGAACAACTAGAAAGTCATATGCTATTCTTTGAAAGACTCTATATTATGAAGATGATGAAAATGTCAATTTAACATAATACCATTAAAATGCCAAAACAACTTTTTTTAACCAGACAAGTTGATTCTAAAGTTCAAATGGGAAAAATAATCCACAAAAATAAGCAGGATAATTCTTAAAAAGAAGAAGAAAAGGAGAAGACTAGCCCTAAAGATATTAAAATGTACACATATAATAATGTAACAATTAAAAGTGAGATATTGAAGCATGATTAAACAGACATGGCAACTGAAGAGAAAAACAAATGCCAGAAAAAATTCCAAACTCATGCAAGGATCTGTCATATAATAAAGGCATTATTTCAAATTGGCATTGAAAAAACTGGGTACCATGCAGAAAAATATGATTTTGTAACTATATCCTGCATCATAAATTCTATGTGGATCAAAATTCTAATGCAAAAAACTGAAACAAAAAAAAGTATTTAAATGAAATATTAAAAAATCTTAAATGCTCAGCAATTTATTTTATGAATATCAACAAACTGATTAAAGTTTATATGGAGAGGCAAAAGACCAAGAATAGTAAAAACAATATTGAAGAAAAATAAAAAAGTTGAAGGACTGACACCACCCAGATTTGACTTACTCTAAAGTTACAACAATCAAGACAGTGCGGTATTGGTGAAAGAATAGACAAATAGCTCAATGGAACAGAATACAGCTCAGAAATGGACCCATATAGACCGGGCATGGTGGCTTACATGGGTCAAGTGCTTTCGGTAATCCCAGCACTTCAGGAGGCTGATGCAGCAGGATTGCTTGAGCCTGGGAGTTCAATATCAGCCTAGGCAACATGGCAAGACCTCTTCTTTACAAAAACTAAAAATAAAAATTAGCCAGGAACAGTGGCATGCACCTGTAGTACCAGCTACTCAGGTGGCTAAGATGGGAGGGTTGATTGAGCCCAGGAGGTCGAGGATGATTGTACCTCTGTACAGTGAGCATGATTGTACCACTGCACTCCAACCTGATCAACAGAGCAACTCCCTGTCTCAAAAAGAAAATAAAAAGAAAAATAAATAGACCCATATAAAAGTGGTCAACTGATCTTCAAAAAGTTGCAAAGACAATTCAATGGAGCAAAGATATTCCTTTCAAAAAATGGTGTTGGAACAACTAGACATCCACATTTTAAAAAGTGAATCTAGACACAGACCTTACACCTTTCACAAAAATTCACTCAAAATGGATTGTAGACCTAAATGCAAAATGCGAAACTATAAAACTCCTGGAATATAACATAGGAAAAAAATCTAGGTAATCTTAGATATGGCAATGAATTCTTAGATACAATAAAAAAAGGCACAGTCTATGAAAAAAAAATTGATAAGCTAGACTTCATTAAAATTTAAAACTTCTGCTCTGTGAAAAACACTGTCAAAAGAATGAGAAGACAAGACACAGACTGGGAGACAATATTTACAAAGGACATATCTGATATGTCCTGATCATATCTGATATGTCCTGATCATATCTGATAGGGACTGTCATCCAAAATACACAGAGAATCCTTAAAACTCAAAAATAAGAAAATAAACAACATGATTTAAAAAATAGACCAAGAACCTTCACAGACATCTCACCAAAGAAGACATACAGATGGCAAATATGAAAAAATACTCAACATTATATGTCATTAGAGAATTGCAAGTTAAAACAATGATATACTACTATACAGCTATTAGGATGGCCAAAATCTGAAACATTGAAAATGCCAAGTGTTGGAAAGGTTGTGGAACAACATGGATTCTCAGCCACTGCTAGTGGGAATGGAAAATGGTACAGCCACTTTGGAAGACAGGCTGACAGTCTCATACAAAACCAAACATATTCTTGTAATATGATCCAGCAACCATGCTCCTTGGTATTTACCCAAATGAATTGAAAACTTATGTCCAGACAAAAGCATTTGCACGGATGTTTATAGCAGCTTTATTCATTATTGCCAAAAACTTGGAAGCAATTAAGATGTCCTTCAGTGAGTGAATAAATAAGTAGACTATGGCACATCAGACAACAGAATATTGGAATATTATTCAATGCTAAAACGAAATAAGCATTGAATTATATTGCTATCAAGCAATACAAAACACAGAGCAAACTTAGTATGAATATTATTAAGTGAAAGAAGCCAATCTGGAAGGGCTACAGCTATGTGATTCCAACTATATGATGTTCTGGAAAAGGCAAAATTATGGAGACAGTAAAAAGATCAGTTGTTGTGAGGGGCTGAGAGAGCAGGAGGGTGGGTGAATAGGCAAAACACAGAGGATTTCCAGGGCAGTGAAGCTATTCTGAAGGACATTGTAATGTTGGATACATGTCATTGTACATTTGTCAAAATCTACAGAACGTATAACAATGCCAAGAGTAAATCCTAATGTGAATTATGGAATTTGGGTGATACTGATGTGACAATATAGGTACATCAATTGTAAAAAATGTATCACTCTGGTGTGGGATATTGATAGTGAGGGAGGCTGTACATGTGTAGGGGCAGGGAGTATATGAGAAATCTCTGTAATTTCCACTCAATTTTGCTGTGAATCTAAATCTGCTCTAAAAATAAATTCTATTACAAATAATCAAAAACTGCTGCTTGGTAAAAGCCACCGTAAACATGACAAAGTATGTAAAATATGTACAACAAACATCACAGTCAAAGGGCGAATTTTCTTATGCAAATATCAACTACTAGAAAAAAATGGGAAAAATAAACAGTGCAAAGAAAAGGAAACATAAATAGTTCTTAAATGTGAAACCTCATACACTATGATATTAAAAATTAAAATTACACTGGAGAGCTTCAAAATACATGAAGCAAAAACTGACAGACCTAAAAGAAGAAATAGGCAAATCCACAACTTATCATTGAAGACATCAACACGCACTTCACCCAGCAATTGGTAAAACAGTAGACAGAAGATTGGTAAAGATATAGACTTGAATGACATTTTCAACCAGCTTGACCTAATTGGTATTTGTAGACCACTATATCTAAAACCCACAGAATAGACACTCCTTTAAAGTGCACATAGAATACTCACAAAATAGACTACATTAGGCCATAAAACAAGTCTCAATAGATTTCAAAGGAAATTATGCCGAGTAAATTTTCTGAATACGAGGGAATCAAATTTGAAATCAAAAACAAAATGATATTTTTAAAAATCCCCAAATATTTGAAAATTAAAGAACATAGTTGTAAATCACTAATGTACCAAAGAAGAAATTACAAGGGAAATTAGAAAACATTTTTAACTGAATAAAACTGAAAACACAATATATCAAGATTTGTGATATGTAACTAAAGTAATACTTGAAGGGAAAGTTACAGCTTTAGATGCTTATACAGAATTAGAAAATAAAGAAAGTAGTAGGAAAGCCTAAAATTAAATCTCTCATTCCATCTTAAGACACTAGAAAAAGAGAAACAAATTAAGTTCGAAGTAAGCAGAATAATGAAAGTAACAGTAGAAATCATTGAAATAGAAGAGCCAAAAGCAACTTTAAAAAGTAATGAAACCAAAAAGATGACAGTTCTTTGAAACAAATCAATGAAAATTGATAAATTTCTAGCTAGACTTGTCAAGAAAAAGAGAAAACACAAGTATTCAGTATCAGAAATATTCTATAAATATTAAACAAATAATTAGGGAATACTGCAAGCAATTTATGCCAACAATTCAACAACTTAGATGAGACAGGCAAATCCCTAAAAGATACAAACTGCCAAAGCTCATACAACAGTAAAGGGAAAATCTAAACTACCCCGACACCAAAATCAGACTAACACTTTGCAAATAAATAACTAATATCCCTCACGAACATAGATGCAATTCTTAGCAAAATATTAGCAAAGATCCAGGGATATATAAAAAACATAACATATTTTAATAAAATAGAGTTTATCCCAGGGTTATAGGATCAATTTAACCTTCAAAAAATCTATCAGTGTAATTAACTATTAATAGAATAAATAAGAATCATCATAGGAATTATCATAAGAATCTCCACTTTATTGGATGGAGAAAAAGCATTTGCACAAATATAACACCCATTCTTCATGTTTTAAAAAACAAACGTATCAAACTATCGATAAATGGGAAATTTCACAACTCAGTGTAAAAAAAAAAAAAGATCTGTGAAAATCCATGGCTAACAACATACTTACCGTGAAAGACAACAGTTTTTCCCTAAGATCAGGAACATGGTAAGGATGTCCACTCTCACCACTTGTATTCAACATTGTAGTGAAAGTACTATTTATTGAAATAAGTCAAGAAAAATAGAAAAATAAAAGGCATACAGGTTTGGAACGGAAGAAGTAAAACTGTCTTTATTTGCAGACAACATGATTATGTATGTAGAAAATCCTAATACTTCTAGGGCTTATAAGTGATTTTAGCAATGTCATACGTTACAAAGTAAATAAAAATAAATTGTATTCCTATATACTATCAAATGACAATTACCAAAAAATACCATATACAATAGCATAAAAATATGACATAAGGTTAAATTAAACACATATGTGCAAGACTTGTACAATGAAAACTATAAAACCACTGCTGAAAGAATTGAAAGAAGACCTAAATAAATGGAGAGATGCCCTGTTCATAGATTAGAAGACTCAGCATTTTCCTGAGTCTTCCAAAATTGTCAAATGTCAATAAAGAAGAAATTTCTATGAACACTTATAGAAAATGTTTTGTGGACACATGTTTTTCCTTAACCTCGAGCAGAATTACTGGGTTATTTTTCAGATACACATTTTATGTATATCCTCTCCCAATCTGTGGCTTGTCTCTTCATTTTTTAAAGAATATCTTTTGACAAAGGAATTTTTTAAATTTTGAGGAAGCATAATTTTCCTTTTTTTTCTTTTATGGTTCATATTTTTTGTGTTCTGAGAAGTCTGCCTATCATAAGGTCATGAAAAATTTTACCAACATGTATCTGACAAAGGGCTTGTATCCAGGATATATAGATAACTCCTATAACACAATAATAAAACAACCAACCCAGGGCAAGATTCAGACGGATACTGTATACTAGTAGATAGATGAATAACCAATAAAAACATGACAAGGTACTCAACATCATTAGTCACCAGTGACATGCAATGAAATACCACTGCACATCCCTAGGATTACTAAAACTAAAAATACTAACAATTACAAGTTTTTACAAGGTTATAGAGCAACTAGAACTCTCCTACACTGCTAGTAGAAGTAGTACACCAAGTAGGAAAAGAGTTTTCAGTTTCTTATACAGCAAAACATATGTAACTTGGCAATTCTGCTCCAAGACAAATGAAAACATGTATCTGCAAAGACTTTTACATGAATGTTCATAGAAGCTTTCTTTATCCAAATGTTTGGTGGCAGGTGAATGGATAAGCATATCCTTACAATGGAATACTATTCTGCAATAAAAAGTAATAAAGTACTGATACAACAATATGCATGAGTCTTATAAACACTACGCCACATGGAGGAAGCCAGACAAAAAGGAGTGCATAAAGTATAATTCCATTTACATGAAACTCTGAAAAACATAAACCTATTTATAGTGTCTGAAAGCAGATTAATTGTTGCCTAGGATGGAGTGGGAAGGGTTGACCACAATAAATCAGAAAGGAGCCTTTTGGGTGTTATAAAGATTCCATATTTTGGTCATGATGATGGTTACACAGGGATATAAATTTTTCAGAACTCTTCAAAATGTACAAGTAAAATGGGTATATTGTATGAGGGGACTTCAAAAGGTTCATGTAAAATGAAATTAAAAGATAAAAATATAAACTTTATTTCTCAATAAATTCTATCAAGTTCAAGATACCTTTGTAAGTGATGATAGCAGCCCTTTAGTCCATCCCTAAGGAATTGAGGGTTCTGGGAATTTAATCATATAAATACAGTGTTTTTTCTATTATTAACTAGAGAAAAATTGGTGCCCTTTAAAGATTTTTTAAAATTAGAAAACAAAAAGAAATATGAAGGAGCCAAATCAGGATGGGAAAGCAGATGCCTAATGATGTCCCATCAAAACGCTTGCAAAATTGCCCTTGTCTGATGAGAAGAATGAGCAGAAGCATTGTTGTGGTGGAGAAAGACTCTCTGGTGAAGCTTTCCTGGGTGTTTTTCTGCTAAATCTTTGCCTAACTTTCTGAAAACACTTTCATAATAAAAATATATTATTGTTATTTGGTCCTCCAGAAATTCAACGAGCAAAACACCTTAAGCATTAAAAAAAAAAAAAAAAAAAAAAAAAAAAAAAAAAAACAGTTGCCATGACCCTTGCTCTTGGCTGGTCTGCTTTTGCTTTGACTGGACAGTTCCACCTCTTGTAGCCATTGTTTTGATTGTGCTTTGTTTTCAGGATTGTACTGGTAAAACCATGGTTCATCTCCTGTTACAATTCTTTGAAGAAATCTTTGAGGATCTTGATCCCACTTGTTGAAAATTTCCATTGAAAGCTCTGTTCTTGTCTGCAGCTGATCTGAGCACAACAGTTTTGACACCCTTCAAGTAGAAAATTTGCTCAACTTTTACTTCTTGGTCAGAGTTGTGTAAGATGGACCAGTTGAGATGTCTATCGTGTTGCCTACTGTTTCTGCTGTTGTCAGTCCTCTTCAATTCGGGCACAAATAGGTTGAATTTTTTCCTCACAATTTGATGGGGATGGTCTGCCACTGTGGGCTTCATCTTCAGTACTGTCCCATCCTTTCTTAAAATGAGCTATTTATTTATAAACTTGAATTATTTGGGGGCATTGTTCTCATAAATTTTTTGTAAAGCATTAATGACTTTGCCATTCTTTTACCCAAGCTTCACCATAAATTTGAAGTTTGTCTTGCTTCAATTTTAGCAGAATTCATGTTGCTGTGATAGGGGCTCTTTTCAAAAAATATCTCATCCTTCATAGTACCTCAAACGAGATCCTGTTCAGGCATGTTTTAACAAGTGAATACAAGGTTGTTTTGGTGCAAAAAAAAATTTCTGAAATCCATGCATAGTTTTTTCATAGTATGTATTTTCCATGAACTTTTTGAAGACCCCTCATTTTATATGTAAACCTGCCTCAACAAAGTTGATTTTTAAAAATTACACTAGAATACTATTTTTCACCTATAAGATTTGCAAAGAAATGCAACTGTGTAGGTGTAGGTATAGGAAACAGTCCTTATCAGACATTGTCAATAACAGTATAAATTTATACAATCTCTGTGGAAAGTATTTGCCGATATCTTTCAAAATTACAAATGCATGTGTGTTTTGACCTGGCAATTTCAATTCCAGGTATTTATCTTACAAGTATTTTTATACATATGTTGAATGACCTCCATACACTGCTACTTGTTGAAGTTTTATTTGTAAGTAAAAAATGTTGGAAACAATCTTATAGTGTATCAATAGGAGACTGATTTAAAAAAAGTAGTCAGCACTCACACAGTGGAATACAATGTAGCCTTTAAAAAAGAATAAAAATATATTTATAAAGATACTCAGGATGCACTTAAAATGTTGTAAAATAGTTTGCATAGTGAGTTTTTAAAAGACCTGCTTTTATATGCATCAAAATGTCAAGGGTAAACCACACATCTACAACCATCCGATCTTCAACAAACCTGACAAAAACAAGCAATGGGGAAAGGATTCCCTATTTAATAAATGATTTTGAGAAAACTGGCTAGCCATATGCAAAAAACAGAAACTGGACCCCTTCCTTACACTTTATACAAAAATTAAGTCAAGATGGATTAAAGGCTTTAATCTAAAACCTAAAACCATAAAAACCCTAAAAGAAAACCTAAGCAACACCATTCAGGACACAGGCATGGGCAAGGACTTCATGACTAGAACACCGAAAGCAATTGCAACAAAAGTGAAAATTGACTAATGGTATCTAATTAAACTAAAGAGCTTTTGCACAGCAAAAGAAACTATCATCAGAGTGAACAGGCAACCTACAGAATGGGAGAAAATTTTTGCAATCTATCCATCTGACAAAGGGCTAATATCCAGAATCTATAAGGAACTTAAACAAATTTACAAGAAAAAAACAACCCCATCAAAAAGTGGGCAAAGGATATGAACAGACACTTCTCAAAAGAAGACATTTATGCAACCAACAAACATATGAAAAAAAGCTCATCATCTCTGGTCATTAGAGAAATGCAAATCAAAACCACAGTGAGATACCACCTCATGCCAGTTAGAATGGCGATCATTAAAAAGTCAGGAAACAACAGATGCTGGAGAGGATGTGGAGAAATAGGAACACTTTTACAATGTTGGTGAGAGTGTAGTTCAACCATTGTGGATGACAGTATGGCAATTCCTCAAGAATCTAGAACCAGAAATACCATTTGACCCAGCAATCCCATTACTGGTATATACCCAAAGGATTATAAATCATTATTCTATAAAGACACATGCACACATGTGTTTACTGCAACACTATTTACAATAGCAAAGACTTGGAACCAACCCATATGCTCATCAATGATAGACTGGATAAAGAAAATGTGGCACATATACACCATGGAATACTATGCAGCCATATAAAGGAATGAGCTCACGTCCTTTGCCAGGACATGGATGAAGCTGGAAGTCATCATTCTCAAGAAACTAACACAGGAACAGAAAACCAACCACCACATGTTTTCACTCATAAGTGGGAGGTGAACAATGAGAACACCTGGACACAGGGAGGGGAACATCACACACCGGGGCCTGTCAGGGGGTAGGGGACAAGGGAAGGAAGAGCATTAGGACAAATACCTAATGTATGTGGAGCTTAAAACCTAGATGATGATTTGATAGGTGCAGTAAACCACCATGGCACATGTATACCTATGTAACAAAACTGCATGTTCTGCACATGTATCCTAGAACTTAAAATTTTTTTAAAAGTCAAGGTTATGCAAGAAATTGTTACAGAGGTTATCTCAACTGAGCTAGACTGGATATGAAAGGGGCTTTTCCTTCTCATTTTACATCTTTCTATTTGGGAAAAAATTAGAAGATGGAAACAAAAAAAATCTAGGTAGCAAAAATAGACGAATGATTGTAATTTTTATCACATTGCTTATTCAAGTGGGTTAGAAGTTGAGAAAAGAGAGACCACACAGAGACAGACATACACACACATTTGCAAATATATGAACTGCATGTTTTTGCTTTATTTAACCAAAGACACTAAACTTAAACTAAGCAGCAAGAATGGTTTCTAAGAACAGGGCAGATGCAGCATATCTTCAATCTTTTCCTGGCCCCTTGCTTCCCTAACAGGAATCACAGGCTGGTAACTCATTTCCCTGGCAGAGTTCTGGTAGGCCTGAGAAATGGTTAAATTCTTCCTAAGTGTCAGTTGTGGTTAAATTCTTCCTAAGTTGTGTTATACTCACACTTACATCACTATTCTTAAACAACTTATACAAATAATCATGTATTTCTATTTTTTAAAAGTTTAACAAATATTAGGATCTACTAGTTCTTGAACCAAATTCAGTAAGGTCCTATCTTTATCCAGCAGAAGAATGTGAAGTCAGCACCAGATGTCACCAAATAGTAAATCAGCCTCCAGCTTCCCAGTGTCTCGGAAAGTGGTTTTCTCATACTCTTATGAAAAGATCTGCTGAAAGTAAGCACAGAAAAAGTGACAACAGAAAGTAGAAAATATCTGCATATATCCTCTGCTCGTGTGCCTTCTCAGTTTGAAACCAAATGGTTCCATAAGCGTACCTTATTTGAGACTCTGACCTAGGATGGCCAGCTCATCTTCGTTTGCCCAGGACTTTCCCCGTTTTAGCACCAAAAATCCCACATCCTGGGAAGCCCCTCAGTCTCTGGAGAACCGGAACAGGGGTTTCCAGACGTGAGCCTGAATTCTGTTGTGCTATACACCCAAACCTGATTCTCACCTCCCAGAAATATTTCTGCTTCTTTCATTTTGCTTCTTCCTTCACTCCCACAATGTTTCATTCAAAAGAGAAGTTAATTGTCAAGAGGAAAATATCAGCATGAGAAAATCATTCTTATTTTTTTCTGCTCCTTCAGCCCCTCCTGTTTCCAAGGGCCTATTAGTAAACATGAATTTAAAAAACAGTCTGACTGCAAAATAAAATGCACATGGGAACTTCTTACATCACAGAACTTAGAATTCAAATAATTGTTTTTCTGTGAATCTGAGAATATTAACAGAAGGCATCAGGAAGAATATTTACAAAGTGACAAGGTAATTGCATTCAGTCCTGAAGACACAGTTGTATTTACCGCTCACTTTCGCCAGATGGCAGACATGAGCGCTACTTCGCTTCTGCCTTACTGAGATTCTGAATTGAGTTAGATTTTTCTCAGTTCGAAGTCATAAATCAGAAATGTCCTCAGAGTGACCTATGGATGTAAATTACCAGAATTTATCATCTGCTGTTACATATGTGGGATCTTTCCTGATGTCCTGTCTCACAGAGTCATTTATTAAGTGTGTTCAAAAGGAACTTTTTCCTGTGAGGCCCCGCAATGTGGTCACTGCAGTGGAAAGCCTGTTTCCCATGCTTAATGACATACCCCTCTCTGGGGAAGGGACAAAGATGTAGAACACTTGCAGAAGTATTAGGAGGCACAAAAGGAAGGAGCTGGGTAATATATTCCATGTCTTAACATCTATAACAACCTCTAAAATGAATGTATAAATTGAAAGACACAAATATAGCATCTGAAGAAGTTCCAACCTTTCTTGACTGTCTAAATCATCAATATTGAGTAATATCGACCTGTATCTGTCCTTGAAACAAATTTCTAAGGTTGTTTCTTCTGTTTGTTCTATTGTATTATAAAATTGTAGTGGGCCGTGACTTAGTCACACTACACTAAGATAGGCACAGAACATATAGTGTCTTTATTTTTCTCTTATCTAGGGATTTTCCTTGTGGATACAGGAAAACTTTAAACCTGCTGAGAAATACCAGCCAGTCACTTCTCATTAAGCAGTCTGTTTCCAGTTTGCTAAAGCTCTTTTCAGGTAAAAGCTCAGTCTTTCAGAATTTCCTCCCCTGCCCCTTCTCCTCCCTAAAGTGGCCTCTTGAGATGGGGGGAAGAAAACTTGGCCCTTCCTGGAGACCTTGGGGCATTCTCCAGGTCCTTGCTGGCCTCAAGGGAAGTGTGTATATTATGAACCTGGTCAGACTTACCCTGCTGACATCCACAGCTGACATCCATTCTCTCTTCATCTCCTCGGAGTCCTGAGGGCCTTCCTACTGGTTTCACAACACCAGCCCCAGATTTTTCCTCAGCTGAACATTACCCCTGAGATCAGGCTTTGATTCCCAGTACAAATGGTCCTCCCAGCACCCTTTGGTTTCAACATCATTTTACCCCCATTGCATCTACGACCTTGGTAAGATTCCCAGCCTTCCTCACCCTCCCCGAGACAAGCAGAGACATCGAGATGCCTTTTGCCCCATGTCAAGGAGGTCAAGGAGTCTCCAAGGAGGGGCCAAACTCAGGCTCTTCCTCTGCTTAACCAAGTTACACCCTGAATTTCACCGTGGGGTGGCTGCTCTGCTCTTGGAGTGCCAAATGCAAAAGGAGACAAAAACCTCTTTGTGTTTGGCCTTTGCCTTCGATCTCTGTAGTGTCTACACACACTTGCACACATACACACACACACACACACAAAACCACCCTGGGATGTTTGCAGGGAAGCCATGATATGCTTGGATCTGACCATTTCCCTGCCTCCTTCCTTCCTTCCCTCTCCTCCTAGTCTGACCACCATATATAAAGGCACAGGCTTTCTACTTCCTCTTCCTCCCTACCTTGCACTTCCTAGTATCATCTTCACTTCTTCCAGGGGCATTACACTCACTGCTCAGCTATTAGAGCCAATCATGACTTTAGGACTACTTTATTCAACTAGAGCTGACTCTTGATACCAAAAGTTGGGTCTTGGGGCTTTCTAAATCCCATCTCTCTCCAAAAAGCCCAACTTTCAAGACCCTCCCCCACTCCACCTAAAACAGTGAGGAAATATACTGTTACCTCTTTGTTCTGTATAGTATGACATTTTTCTTACCTGGAACAGTAAGCCTCATAGTTTAGCCTCGACTAGAAGTTAAAGGTTAAAAAGGAATAAGATTTAAGGGACAAATGGATACAATCATTTTCAGGTATTTAAAGTATTATTCATTATAGAAACTAAGAACTCCATATGCAAAGAGTTTAAAATAGGACTGGGCACATAAGCACAGCTGTAATCATTATCAATATTTTTACTGAACGTAAAGCAAAGGCAGGCCTGTATGCCAGAGATAAGGAGGGAGAGAGTACATTGCCATGTTGGGACTGATTATGCTGAAAACCTTCTATTATGAAATAAATACTACCTTTTGAATTTCCATTTGCAAAAATCTTGGGGATATAGAAAGTGTGAGAAAGAGTGAAAAATGAAATCAGAATACACTTTGCATTGGGTTTACCAGAGAAGGTCGGCTGACCGATTCAACATCTGAAACCTAAAACCTGTTTTTCATATCTCAATTTTGACATGTTCTAGCTTTTCCCAAAATTCAACGTAAACAAAATCAGCTGCCTCATCACCCCAGAAAGTATGCAACAACATGGGGCATAAAGGATGTTAAAGTAACTACAACTCGCAGCTAAAACAAGATCATTGTAAAAGAAAATTATTGACAGAAAATCATTGACTCATGATGGAGACCATTTTGGTAGAAAGGACAAAGAGAAGCTATAATATTAATCACAGTTAACAGAAAGTTGCCTCAGCTATAAGTTTTATGACCAAAACATCCAAGTTAAAATGTACATGTTGTTTCTGCTTTCTCTCAATGTGACAGTTGCTAACCCTGGTCCATTAAGCAGGCAGACCTGTGTGTGAATCTGCTGGGTGAGGCAGTATTAACCTCTTTGACATTAGTTTTCCTAACTCAGTGTCTCCTGTTTCTTCAGTTAAAGTGGATTTGGTGTTAATATTTCCAGCCTTCCGAAGGACATGATTATAAGTGCCACCCAACCTTTGAGTATGATTATACTCTTTGCTACAAAGTACCCAGTGTCCTAGAAAATCAATAAGTCAGTCCCAATGGATAAAGTTAAAGATTTTTAAAAAATCAATATATCAGGAGGAAAAAGTATAGTCTCCAGCCATCTAGATATTTCAAATGTTATATTATTTTTAAGTGACATCACCATTTGAGGGCCCATTTTTTCATAAAAACCCTAATGGTTTAACTGTTGTGACATCTTTAGTCATTGCTTAACAAACCTGAATCCCTCAGAGGGCTTCTTGGTGCCAGAAAGTGGATAACAGAACACAGAACAGAAGTGACCGGTACTTGATTACTCAAGGACTGTCCCAGAGGCCTGGCCGGATCCCCTTGGTAGGCAAAATACAGGGAGGGGGTGCTATGTCCTAGAGCCTTCTACTTTTCACGGAGGAAGATTCTGGCCATGTCTGAAAGTTCCCTCCTGCAATGCCTGAGGTTCTCCTACAGTGCCTCAGCAGCCTTGTGAGGACCCAGAGGATGGAGGAATATCCAGAATCTCACTTCCAGTGATTCTCAAGAGAGGGCTTTTCTGTTTTGAAAACACTTCTAAAGCCACTATCCTAATCCTGGGTTGTATAATCACGATAGAGGGAGGGAAGAACAAGCACCATTTATTCTCACAGTTACTCCCACCTCCGAGCTAATGTTAACCAGGAGCACATGTTTTGAACTCCTGACCAATTGTTAGAGCGTAAAAACAACTAGAACAAATTGCATGTAAAATATCTTAATATAGTTCATTTTAAAAATAATAACTGAAATACAAGAAATATGCACAAGGTGCTGGGTGCAGTTATGCGCAGTCCTGGCCACACATTGGAATGACTGGGGAACTTAAAAAAAGTCAAGAATCTAACTGAAAAGGTTCCACTTTAATTGGTGCGGAATGGAGTTGAAGAATCAGTGTTCTTTAAGTTTCCCATGTGATTCTAATGTACAAAAGCAACTGATTAAAACCACAGTATTACAAATACACAGAGAAAGAGTCTATCTGTCCAAAGAGCAGAAGCGCAGAAATACCTCGTACAGGATCCCAAAGCTTCGAGATACCACAATGGTCTCCTAGCAACTGCTTCACCTGAAGGCCACTGAAGTAGCAGCTGTTATGACTAAAAGTTAATGGGAGCAGTTTTCATCCTTGTGTCTCAGTCTGATTACATTACCATTTGCTTTGGTACAGTATTTCCAAAGCTCATAATCATAAGTCACCTGAGAAACTTGCTCAAACTAGAGATTCCAGGCTTTTCCTTCCTAGTTCTATTCAATAGGTCTCTATACTACAGCCTAGGAAGCTGTACATTCAATAAGCACCTCAGGTAGTGCTTATGACTTGGCAAGTTGGAGAAACTCTGCTCTAGAATCTAAATTGTTAAAACGGCCTCTCAGTTCCAGTCTTACCATTTCACCCAGCTTCAATTCATCACATACATTATTTCTAGAACACTCTTCCCACTTCCTATATCCATTATGCCACACTCTGCTGGCTAGCACAGCCTGGCTACATGTTCTCAGTTGTGTCATTTGTGTACTATTCTTGTTTGAATTCCCCTCCCCTCTGGAAGGGCAGGAACTGGGACTGGGCATAGAGGAGATCGTTATGGTCTTGAGACCACAGAACACGGAGGTTAGGATAATCCAAAAACAATAACAAAAAGTAATAATAAAAAGTGAAACTATATTTGGAAGTCAAGCAGACAATGGAGCTAAACAGCCTATCTGAAGCACCCTAGCCTACAAGGCCTTCCTGTGTACTCGTTGGGAAAAAGAGATGTTAACCACCATAGCAATAATGGCTGACACCTTTGCAATTACTGCCAAGTGCTTTTCATACATCATCTCATTTCATCTACATAGAATATAAGGCATACACTACTCTTGTCCCAGTTTACATAGGAGAATGCATAGATGTTTAAGTAATTTGCCCAATGACACACAACTGTTACATAATATAGAGCCAGGAAGCAAGCCCAGGTCAGGCAGGCTTTGAACCACTGAGCAATACTGTCTCCCACTTACAGAGAACAGAACAAATAAGTAGGTTCAGGAAACAGCCTCAGTTTCCTCATCTTATGCCCTGGAAACAAGTGGACTATAAGAACTCCTAAGCTTAGACTGGAGTCTAGTGTTTCAGGGAGGCACCCCAGATACCATGTCATGCTTCTTCCTTAACCTGCTTCTTGGGAATTTTTATTTAATATTGTTGAATGTGCTTTTTAAAAATTTTTTTTAAATGTTGATTGAATGCAATTTACTTAAAAGTGACTTTATTCCGAGCCACATTTGTTAGAATCATCTTCGTTGGCTGACAATTCAAGACAAAAATTTTGGTACCTAACGTAGGTTCTATATTCTGTTTCACATTCGTTTTTAATCATGTTTCTGAGAAATGAGGCCATTCCTTTGAATGTGTTTCTTGTAGTAACAGGTTCAAGGAAAATGATAATGAAAAAAAAATCTGATGTCTCTACTTTTCTGAGAAATATGGAAGGAAATCCTTTAAGAAATTGATTATAATATATGTTATAGTGGAAAACAAATAAACTTGGTATCAAACAAGCCAAGGTTTGCCTCACTGTAAGCTGTGTTACCTGGATTAATTACTTCCCTTCTCTGAGCAATGATGATTAATCTTAAAGTAAGGATAGTATTACCTAAAACAGAGCTGACAAACTATGACCATGAGCCAAATACGGCCCCTCCGGACTGTTCTTTAAAACCCTCCCTCCAGAGAAGAATAATTTTTACATTTTTTAAGAGTTGCAAAAAAAAAAAAAGAAGACGAAGAAGAAAAAGAATATTCAATAGAGTTCCTATGAGGCCTGCAAAGTCTAAAATATTTATTAATACTATCTGGCCCTTTATAGAAAAAAATTTACCAACCCCTGACCTGAAGGCAAGACCCACCTAGGTTATCATAAAAAACAAAGCTAAGATGAGATACAGAATCTATATTTTAAAGTAGGTTCTCTCACTAGATCCCAACAAGGCTCCCAGTACTTGAAATTCAAATTTGTGTTTCAGCAAAATTTCAAATGACCACAGGCCTCCTAACAAAGGAGAGAAGCATCAAAGCAAAGACTCATTCTGTGAAAGGCAAGGATCTGCTACCTGAATTATTGCTAAGCTTGGTGTAGCATAAATGTTTTCAAACAGGGAAGGAGACATGACTTGGAATCTACTGTCCTTTAAAATGTCACGCAGAAGCATAAACAAACAAAACAAGTAACCTCTGGCGTTGTTCTGAAGGGGAGGGAATAAGAATGGGTGGGCTGGACCTTCACTTGACCTCTCCTGTCCCTCCGGAGCAGGCAGCCTCAAGAGATCCTTGGAGGCACAAAGACTGTTCTGTGTGTGTGTTTGTATGTGTGTGCACATATATATGTTTGTATGTATTTCAAAATTGGAACAAAATGAAATTCATTTACAATAACATGATTTTTAAAAATGATAGAAATGCTATATAAAGAGATAACTACATTATGAAAGTCTGAAAGTTCCCTCATCATTGCAGCTAGAGAAAGTTAAGTGTCTCCGCCAGGACCTGGAAAGCATTGCATTCTGTCCCCCACCTCAGCCACTCACTGTTTCTGGTTAAGGGATTCATACCAGTCACAAGGAAATTTGGCTTCCATCCAAGAGGAGGGGGAAGAAAACAAAAACAACTCCTCTGTAAAACAGAAAGGAAAATGAGTCTGACAGATTTATTCCTTTCTGCATTTCCTGTTGCTGCTTCCCAAGGTTGGCTTTCAAAAGCAAGACTTTGTCCCATGAGAATAACCACTATAGCGTGGCAGCCCTCTCTGAGAAAGATCAGCCTCTCCATTTTCATTTCTTGATTTTTTTTTAAATTCCACAGCCCCAGAACAAGCTCCAGCTGCCCTCTGTGTCCAATACAAACATGTAATATTCTCTTTCCTTTGTTTTTATAAGACTTTAGAAAAGAAGAAGGTGGGGATTGTTATCAAAGTCACAAGGACAGAGAAGGTGAACCCAGGCATGGTCCCAGAGGGAGGAAGAAGCCATGTGATATTTGCAGAACAAACAGAAATAATGACAAACTAACACTTTCAAAAAAACTAGAACCATTCTCATTCATGTGTCTGCTTAAAAATGTATGTTTTTTAAGTACATGTAAGTGATACCCCAAAGACAGATTCAGGAGATTGGAGATAGGCATGCATATAAGTGCAGACTCGAGCAAAGGATAAAATGATTCCACGGGGGCAGAATGGTGAACTAATGTATATTACATGTCAAAGTGTCTGCCAATTGGGTATGTTCTTATAAAGAATTAATGTTTCACTCACATTCAATACAGTTGACTTGCTCCAGCTGAAATGGACCTAGATAGCTATTTATTATCTGAATAGCTTTAACACAGTATTCTCCACCCCGAAGCTGAAGTTATTGAGTCTAACATGTGGTATTCATTAGTAGAAATCCTGGAGTGTAATTGTCTAGATTTTAGGCATAAAGCTTTGCAATAAAATTTTGCATTAAAGAAAAGATTTATATGCAGTCTCCTGAGTTCTGCCACCAACATAGTAGAAACAACAACAATTTTCTTTTCCTTTGGCCTAAAACACATTTCACTGGCTTTTTAAAGAGAAATTACATTCAGAAAAATCAGAGCTCTTTTTGCAACAAATTTTTTAAAATATTTAAGATATCCTTTCTGGAAAATCATTTAGGAAAAATAACTCAATCCTTCTTGAAAGGATAGGGAATAGTGATTTCTGTATGCAAGACATTTAATTCCCTCCCACTTTCTTCCTCCTCCTTTTTCCCAGTTCTTCCTCCCACCCACTTATTTGAGAATTATAATTATATAGAGAAAAAGCTATTAATAATTTGTAAAATAACTTGTTAGGTTTTATTAATTAGCAAATAATATTTTATTCCCATTTCATATAATTTAAAGTATTTTTTTTAAGAGTCAGAGTCTCACTCGATTGCCCAGACTGGAGTGCAGTGGCATAATCATAGCTCACTGCAGCCTCGAACTCCTGAGCTCAAGCAATCCTACCACCTCAGCCTCCTGAGTAGCTAAGACTATGTGTGTGCACCCTCGTACTGGCTAATTTTTTAAATTGTGTGTGCGTGTGTGGAGACAGGGTCTCCTTATGTTACTCAGGCTGGTCTTGAACTCCTGGTCTCAAGCCATCCTCCCACTTCAGCCTCCCAACGTACTGAGATTATGGCTGTGAACCACCATGCCCAGCTAAAGCAAATTTTATAATCTATTTTTGTTCATTTGTTTATTTTAGCAGTGATGAAATTATAATATCAAGGGCCTAAAAAATTGAGAAACATTATGAGAGTAAGGTGTAGGGAGCAGTTTGGGATTCTTTTTAAAAGCCTTTATACCCAAAACGGAAAAGTTTTAGATCCTCATTTTTTAAATATTGAATAAAATATTTAAGATAAGGTCATCAGACATTGAATACTTTACTTAAAGCTTTACTACCACCAGCTCCACAATAATCTAAGGACTATGAAAGAAGAAGTCACATAAAATGAACTGGAGTTTCAAATCCTAGCACATTTGTGTACACACAAAAAATACATTGCTTATATTTCTTTCCCTTTTAAAGTGTGTGATTTTTCATTTCTATCAAAGTAATATATACAGATATTTTTAAAAATCAAATAGTACCTGTAAAGGAATGAAGTTGGACTCTTGCCTTACACCACATACAAAAATTAACTTAAAATTTATCTAAGACCTAAACATAAGACCTAAAATACAAAACTCTTAGAAGAAAACATAAGGTGGTCTTCATGACATTGGATTTGGCAATGGTTTCTTGGATATGACACCAAAAACAAAGACAAAAGAAAAATAGATAAGTTGAACACATCGAAATGAAAAACTTCTGTGCATCAAAGAACACAATAAACAGAGTAAAATGGCAATCTCCAAAATGGGAGAAAATATTTGCAAATCATATATCTGATAAGACATTAATATCCAGAATATGTGAAGAACTTCTACAACTCAACAACAATAAGAAATAAATAATTCAATCTGAAAATGGGCAAAGAATTTGAATCGACATTTCTTCAAATAAAATATACCAACAAGTATATGAAAAGATGTTCAACATCACTAATCATTAAAACAATATAAATAAAAACCATGATGAGATATCATCTCACATTCATTAAGATATCTACTATTTTTATAAAAGAAAATAACAAGTGTTAGGGAAAATCTGGAGAAACTGGAAACTTTGTGTACTATTGATGGAAATGTAAAATAGTACAGCACATTGGCAAACAGTGTGGCAGTTTTTCAAAAAATTAAAACTAGGATTACCATATGATCTAATGATTCCACTTTGGCCATATATTTAAAAGAAATGAAAGCAAGGGCTCAAAGAGATATTTGTATACCCATGCTCATAGCATTATTCACAAAAGCTAAGTGATGGAAGCAATGCAAATGTTCATGAACAGATGGATACATAAACAGAATGTGGTATGTATGTACAGTGAAATATTATTCAGCCTTTAAGAAGTAAATTCTGACACATATTACAACATGGATGAATCTTGAGGACATTATATTAAGTGAAATAAGCCAGTCACAAAAAAATACTGTATTGGGCCGGGCACAGTGACTTATGCCTGTAATCCCAGCACTTTGGGAGGCCGAGGCAGGCGGATCGCCTGAGGTCAGGAGATCGAGACCAGCCTGGCCAACATGGCGAAACCCCATCTATACTGAAAAAAAAAAAAAAAAAAAAACTAAAAAAATTAGGCAGGCATGGTGGCAGACACCTGTAATCCCAGCTACACAGGAGGCTGAGGCAGGAGAATCGCTTGAACTCAGGAGGTGGAGGTTGCAGTGAGCCGAGATCGTGCCATTGCACTCCAGCCTGGATAACAAGAGTGAAACTCCATCTCAAAAAAAAAAAAAAATACTGTATAACTCCACTTACATGAAGCATCTAGAGTAGTCAAATTCATAGAAACAGGAATTAGAATGATGGTTGTCAGGGCTGGAGGGGGAAATGAAGAGCTGTTTGATAGATCTAGAGTTTCAGTTTTGCAAAATGAAAAAGTTCTAGAGATTGATTAGATAACAGTGTGAAAATACTTAGCACTACTGGACACTTAAAAATAGTCAAGATGGTGTCTGTTTTAGTCTGCTTGTGCTGGTATAACAAAATAACTGAGAGTGGGTAACCTATAAGGACAGAAATTTATTTCTCACAGTTCTAGAAGCTGAGAAGGCCAAGCTCAAGGCACCAGCAGGTTTTGTGTCTGGTGAAGACCTGGTCTCTACTTCCAAGATGGCACCTTGAATGCTGCTTCCTCCAGAAGGGACAAAGGCTGTATCCTCACATGGTGAAAGAACAAAAGAGAGCAAACTCACTCCCTCAAGCCATTTTATGAGAGCTCTAATCCCATCCACAGGGGCTCTACCTTCATGACTTAATCACCTACTAAAAGCCCCCCACCTTGTAATACTATCATATTGGCGATTACATTTCAGTATGAATTTTAGAGGAGACACAAATATTCAAACCAAACCATAAGGTAAATTTTATGTTTCGTGTACTTCATGACAATTAAAATGTTTTTAATTTAAAAATAATTTTCTAAAAGTCAAATAGTGGGGTTGGGGGCAGGTTTAAAAAGAATTAAAATGGAAAAAATAAAGAAAAGTCAAATAGTGACTGCTAATGGCTATAAAGTTTACTTGTAAGACACTGAAAATGTCCTAAAATTAGACTGAGGTGATATTTGCACAACTCTATGACTATACTAAAAGCCATTGTATTATACACTTTAAATTGGTAAATAATGTGGTTTGTGGATTATATCTCAATGAATAGAACAAAAAAGCTGAATAAAAGAAGAGTCCTCCTGCTTAACTGCCTGAGCTGGGACTTTGGTCTTTTCTTGCCTTCAGACCCAAACTGACCTTGGATCTTCTTGAGTCTCCAGCCTGCCATCACTAGGACTGGAACTTATACCATAAGCTCTCCAGGTTCTTAGGACTTTGGACTCAGACTGGAACTATATCATCGACTCTCCTGAGTCTCCAGCTTACTAATTGCAGATTTGGGGACTTTTCAGCCTCCATAACTGTGTGAGCCAATTCCTTATAATCAGTCTCTTTATACACACACACATACATACACATACACACACACACACACCCTATTGGCTCTTTCTCTGGAGAACCTTAAAATACCCCCATATCTCCAAATAATATGTTCAACTTATTTCTTGATATTATCTTCCTTCAACAGAAGATAAGAATCTAGCTCTCATCCCTAATTAAGTTATATTACATTGCAATGTTGATGGAGTATCACCACATTGTGTTCTATAAGACTCTGTCTTAGCTAACTTGAAAGGGAGATTATCCTTGGTGGCTTGATAAAGTGAGCAGCCACACTGAAGAGGCTCATTTAGCAAGCAACAGTAAGTGGTCTCTAGGTAGGGTAGGCAGCCTCTAGGATCTGAAGGCAGCCTGCAGCTGACAGCCAGCTAAAAAGATGGGGCCCACAGCCACACAACGATAAGGAAATCATTTTGCCAACAACTTAAATATGCTTGGAATCAGCTCTTTCCCAAGTTCAGTCTCTGATGAGACTGCAGCCCCATTTGGAAACTAAATTGTAGCCTTGGGTGACCTGCAAGCAGAGAGCCTTGCTGAGCTATGCCTGAAGGTTCATCACACAGAAACTAAGATAAAATGTCATGCACATGCCTGTTGTCCCAGCTACTCAGGAGTCTGAGGCTGGAGGATCACCTGAGCCCAGGGAGGTCAAGGCTGCAGTGAGCCACGATTGTACCACTGCACTCTAGCCTGGGTGACAGAGTGAGACCCTGTTTCAAAAAAAAAAAAAAAAAAAGATAAAAGATAAAAAGATAAAAATGTGTGTTGTTTAGGCCAGTAGACTTGCAGCAATTTGTTATCCAGCAACAGAAAAAAACAATACAATGGATTTTTTCAACTTCATTAGCAAATTTGTTATTAAAGTTTTAAAATTTTTGTATTATATTAATTTCTGATTATTATGCTTGTTCTTTGAATACTTTTTCAAATGTCAATTGTGTCCAGGTCTAATTATGAAGGAAGGGAAGAAAAAATAATCTGAGGGCTTCCTTACAATTGATAACAAAAATATTAATACTTCTCTCCTCCCTGTATCCATACCCTTTGCAATATGATTTTTTAACTCCTTTCGTGAAGATATAGAGTTATTTCCCCAACCCTTGAATCTGAGCTGGTCTTGTGACTTGCTTTCACCACTAGAATGTAGGGGGAAAATGACTGAGTTAGATACCAGTTAGAGCCTAGTCATCAAGAAGTAGTTTAAGCTTCTACCCATTCTCTTGGTACCTTGCCTCTGCCTAATGAATAAGCCTGTTGGAGGACCAGACAGAGACCACACAGACCAGAGCTGAGTCAGCCTAAATGCACCTGCCAAAGCCCCAGAGATGTGAGAAAGCCAAGCCACAATCAACAAGGCCACTCACCCAACCTGGCAGATGACCTCACATCCAGCCCACTGGTGACCAGAATATTTGTGAGCTAGAAAAGTGCTTGTTATTTTAAGATACTACATTTTGAGGTGGTTTGTTATATAGTAATAGCCAAATAACACACGCTCTTTATACATATTTTTAGCCTATCCTTTCGTTTCAGCCTCACTCTCACCTTTCTTCGGAGATACCTGCTGCTGCCTCCAGTTTCTGGGAATGTGCAGTGTTAGTTACTGTTTTTCTTGTTGACTTCTCTCTTTGCATGTCATCAGGTTTCATCTTCCTATGTCCTGCTAAGCCAGAAGAGCATAGGAAGAGTTCCAGAGCCAGCCAGAATTCTGTCTTTCAAATTTTCATTGCCAATTTCCTTTCTTTCTTTCTTTCCTTCTTTTTTTTTGACAGAGTCTTGCTCTGACGCCCAGGCTAGAGTGCAGTGGCATGATCTCGGTTCACTGCAGCCTCTGCCTCCCAGGTTCAAGCGATTCAACTGCCTCAGCCTCCTGAGTTAGCTGGGACTACAGGCACGCATGACCACGCCCAGCTAATTTTTCTATTTTTAGTAGAGATGGAGTTTCACCATGTTGGCCAGGATGGTCTCGATCTCCTGACCTCGTGATCTGCCTTGGCCTCCCAAAGTGCTGGGATTATAGGCGTGAGCCACTGCACCCAGCCTTGTTGCCAACTCTCATTTGGTGTTATAACCTCTTTCATTCTTTTTAATGTTCTTTATTCCTTTACTGTCATTTAATGGGATTTCAGGAAAGAGTGGACATAAGCATGGCACTCAAATGTATCACTATAACCATGTGTTCAATACAATCCTCAACTGCAAAAGCAAGATGTATTTCTGCCTCCAAATGCAATGCCATTTGTATAAAAAGAGATACGATGTGCTCACTCTCCATCACTTGCCACTTTTTTCTTCATGATTTATTTTTGACGTAGTTGTCCATAGCAACTCTCATTACCTGCCAGCACAATCTACCCACCTTATCTTGGTGTATTCTTCATCACTTATCAGAGTTTCTTCACTGGGGCTCTACAGAATCCCAGGAGTCTATAACATGTTGCTAGGGATTCTACAAGAGACATAAATGAGAAAAGTAAACACTGATTTTTAAATTTTTCATGCCTTGGAATTCTAACACTCATAGTAATGGATGATGACCAAGCAGCCCTGTTAGAAGTTTTTTTTAGCAGTCTTTCAGCCCATCTGGCATTATAGAGTAAGACCATTTCATTTGATTGGATTCTCTTTTAATTTTCTATTTGAATTACAGGTGGCCATTAATAATTATTGAGCACAGAGTTGCACATAGCAGGAGTTCTTCAGAACTACATTCAACAACCCCTTACACATACCAAGTGACCAAGGGAAGAAAAAAATAACTCCACTAGTGCAAAAGAAAATCAGAGGGAAGTTTGTATTCTGAAGAAGAACTTTCTATGCACCATAACTCAGCTTGTTAATTTGCGGTTATTGTAAATGTTTCATGGATTGTGTAGGTAGATTGAATTGGATGTTTCTGTAGTCTTGGCTCCTTTCTTATTTATTTATTTGTTTATTTGTTTATTATGATCTTATGTTTTCTATTTTATTAGCCGTTTTTTGGTAAACATGACTGATAATCCAATGTGGTGATGTTTGAAAACGAGAGATAGAAGATGTCGATTCTAGACCTATAGGGAGAGTTTGCATAAGGTTAACAACAAAGAATTATAGTCTTCTGAGTCATTTCACTTTCTGGTTGAAATAAGTGACACAATAGGAAAAAAGGAAGGGAAGGGAGGGAGGAAGGAAGGAAGGAAGGAAAAGAAAGAAAGAGAGAGAGAGAGAGAAAGAAAGGAAAAGAAACAAAGAAAGAGAAAGAGAAAGAAAGGAAAGAAAGAAAAGGAAAAGAAAGAAAGGGAAGGAGGGAGGGGGAGGGAGGAAGGAAGGGGAAAAGAAAGAAAGAGGAAAAGAAAGAAAAAGAGCAAAAAAGAAAAAAGGAAAGAAAGAAAGAGAAGAAAAAAGAAAAGAAAAGAAGAAAAGAAAAGGAAGGAAGGAAGGGAAAGAAGGAAAGAAAAGAGGGAGGGAGGAGAGAGGGGGAGGAAGGAGGGACGGAAGGAAGGGAGGGAGGAAGGAAGGGAGGAGGGGGAAGGGAGGAAGGGAGGGAGGATGGCAGGCAGGCAGGCAGGTGAGAGAGAGGGAAGGAGGGTGGGAGGAAGGAAAGGAAGGAAGGGAAGAAGGGAGAGAATGAAAGAAAGGTGACATGGTTTGGATGTCTGTTCTACCCACATCTCATGTGGAAATGTAATCCCCAATGTTGGAGGTGAGGCCTGGTGAGTGGTGTCATGGGGGTGGATCCTCATGAATGGCTCAGTGTTGTCTTTACCACAGTGAATGAGTTCTCCTGAAATCTGGTTGTTTAAAAGTGTGTGGCTCCTCCCCCCTCTCTTTTGCTCCTGCTCTAGCCTTGTGAGATGTCTGCCTCCCCTTTGCCTTATTTCATGATTGGAAGCTTCCTGGGGCCCTCACCAGAAGTAGATGCTAGAGTCATGCTTGTACAGCCTGCACAACTGTGAGACAATTAAACCTCTTTTCTTTATAAATTACCCAACCTCAGGTATTTCTTTACAGTAATGCAAGGGCAGGCTAATACAAAAAGAAAACAAATGTCAAGAGCAAGGATAAAAATAATCTCATTTCATTCAAAAACAAAATTTGTATGCTTATCTCAACAGTGAATTGATTATGCAGCAAATACTCAAACGTAAGTATCACATTTTTACAAGTATCATATTAAAGAGGTACATATCATTCTTTGCTTTTGTTTTCAAAAATAATGCTTTGTACATATACAGACCTATAAAAGAAACCACAAAACCAACATGTGTATAATAATTTTGTAACTCTATACGTTTGTAATAATTTTGTAACTATATTTAAGCCTGATCATGTCAATCAGTAGCAAATTATTTCTTCAAAATCCTGACTAAAACTGTCTTAGACTATATTTTATTCATATTGTTTGGGTTATGGCTTTAGGCGCTTTACTATTCAACATCATCAATGTTCAAGTTGAAAACATTAATTAAAATTAATTTACAGCTTGTATTTAAATTAAGTCTACACAGTCTACCTTTAGGAAATTAAATCCCATTTTGGCTTAAGACAGATATTTAGCAGAAATTTATTACGTTTGTCTCATGAGCTTTAAAAATTTATGAATGGAAAGAAATTAATTTTAAGTAAAGTAATCTAAACTTAACTGCCTATATTTTTCAAGAAAGTTTCAGCCAGGCACGGTGGCTCACCTGTAGTCCCAGCACTTTGGGAGGCCTAGGTGGGTGGGTCATTTGAGGTCAGGAGTTCAAGACCAGCCTGGCCAACATGGTAAAACCCCATCTCTACTAAAAATACAAAAATTAGCCAGGCGGTAGTGGCACATGACTTTAATCCCCACTACTCCAGAAGCTGAGGCAGGAGAATCCCTTGAGTCTGGGAGGCAGAGATTGTAGTGAGCCTTGATCGCGCCTCTGCACTCCAGTCTGGGTGACAGAGTGAGACCCTGTCTCAAAAAAAAAAAAAGAATGAAAGAAAAAGTTTTGCTGAAAAGTCATTTTTTCTCTAAATAAGAAGAAACTACTCTTGTACACACCATATCAGTTTTTTGTCCCATAAAAATTTGTGATAAAACTTTTAGGCTGTGGTAGGCTGAATAATGGCCCCCAAAGTTGTCCACATCTTAATGCCTGGAATCTATTAATATGTTATCTTACAAGGCAAAAGAGAGTTAACAGATTGATTTGAATTTAGGGTCTTAAAATATAAAGAGTAGCTCAGATTGTCCAGGTGAGCCTAATGTAATCACAAGGGTTGTTATAGGAAAGAGCAGAAAAGCTGGGGTTGGAAGAGAGGGAGAGAGAATGATTTGAAGATGTTAAGATGCAAGATTTGAAGATGGAGGAAGAGTCCACTGCCAAGGAATGCAGGCAGCCTCTAGAAGCTGGGAAAGGCAAGGAAATTGATTCTTCTCTGCAGCCTCCAGAAGAATGCAGCCCTACTAACCCATTTTGATTTTCTAGTCTCCGGAATAGCACAATAATAAATTAGGGTTGTTTTAAGTTACTAAGTTTGTGGTAATTTGTTACAGCAGCAATTGGAAACAAATACATAGGCCTAATTGGATAAGGTGAAAGCACACACATACACACATGTACACACACACAATCAAACAGGTAATTTTTTTTAACAGGAAAGAAAAACTGAGTGTCATCTACCTACAACTACTGATTTGCTTTGTGGGGTTTATATGCTTGGTGGAGAGGGGGAACAAACAAAATGAGTAGGTTAATAGGTTGGCCAAAATAAATGGATCCCCAGGAAAACTGCATTCTCTATTCAAAAGACCATTGACAATCATTCTTGGATTATCATACCTACAAATTACTGACCCTGCTAAAGCACCACGAGCTGCAGATATGAAAATTTTTGTGCAGTTTCCCTGAGACATGAAAATTATTTGAAGGGTTCATCCAGATAAAATGATTCAAAGTGGCTATATTACACATTCACTTGCTCACGTGTTCACTGTCTACGCCCACACTCCACACAGGAGACAGCACAGTGGCAGTGTCTCCAGGAACATGAGGCTGACCCTAGAGACCAACAATAAGGAAGCCTTGTATTCCTCACTCCTACAGAGGTGTGAGCGTTTCATCTTATTTGAACACTAGCTCTCTGTTAACACTTTGTTGTTGCTGACTCATCAGGCACTGCCTTCCATGTTTGCTCATCTGTGTCATTTGCAGTTTTGAATCCAGTAGTATCTTAGTCTTTGCTCATTTACTCTCTCACACTGCAGTCTCATAGCTACTGAATCATTGTCCCTGAAAGTCCTGCTTCCCTCTACTTCCATGCCAGGTTCTGTAGCTCTGCATGTCTTTCTGGAGCAAGTTTTCTGGTTGTCCCTGTAAGAGCAGTTCTCCGTTCTGAAGCTGCATACTCAGTGATCTGTGCCAGGAGTTGGCAGTTACAGCCCAAGGCCAAATCCAGCCCACTACCTGTTTTTGTAAAGTTTTATTGGAACACAGCCATCCTCTCTTGTTTACAAGTTGTCTATGGCTGCTTTCAAACCACAACTTCAGAGCTGAGTAGTTGTGATAGAGGTCTTATGGCCTGCAAAATCTGAAATATTTACTATGTGAAATATTAAGAAAAACATTGGTGGCTTTTGCTCTATGATTTTATGGCTATCAAAAGAGGGTTTTGACCTTTATTCCATTGGAAGAGACACTTCCTTTCTGTTTAGAGTAAAAATTGAAAGTTGTTCTGGCTGGCCTGGTGGTTCACATCTGTAATCCCAGCACTGTGGGAGGCCGAGGCAGGCAGATAACTTGAGGCCAGGAGTTCAAGACCAGCCTGGCCAATATGGTGAAACCCCATCTCTACAAAAAATACAAAAAGTAACCGGGCTTGGTGGCGCACACCTGTATTCCCAGCTACTTGGGAGGCTGAGCCACAAGAATCCCTTGAGCCTGGGAGGCAGAGGTTGCGGTGAGCTGAGATCATGCCACTGCACTCCAGCCTGGGCAACACAGCAAGACTCTGTCTCGAAAAAAAAAAAGAAATAAGAAATAAGAAAATTGTTCCTTCGTGCTTGCAACACAAAATCACCTGCTGCGTAACAGTGTTACCACTATCCAACACTGTTTGTGTCTTCAGATATTATTGTTTATTCACATAATGTACAACAGCATACAGATTATTAAAAAGTGCTGTGCAAAAAGAAGATATTGTCTTACCAGAGAAAAGGAGCATTGCAGGTTTTGTGATTACCCATGAATATGTATTTTAAAAATCGGTTTTATTTTTATGATAGGAAAAAGGTTTTGTTGATTTGCAGAACTTCTGATCAAATACTTTCAGAACCTGGGTTCCAACTGTTTCCTCCACAATAGCTATTCTTGATAACGTCAATGAGAATTCTATACACAAAGCTGCTTTTCTGTAGCAAGTACCTGTGCATATGTTTTCATAATAATCGGAGCATTTTTGTAATAATTTTTAAACTTATACACAATGACATTGAATCAGTAAGACAAAGTCCTAAATCTTCTCTCTTCTCTAAGAAAACTCCCCGTATTTCAAATGCTGAAAATAGGGATTTTGTTTACTCCAGCCAGCATTATTTATAGATTGCCCAAAATTTGCATTTTTGAATGGGAATTTATAGACCTCCCATTATTTTAGCATTTAAAAAATTATCTAATAAATTCTATAGCATAAAGAACTGTTTGAGCATCAAATCCAGATTCTCATAATGGAAATTATCTGAGCATGTTTCTCTGCCTGGCAGAAGGTGGCACTAGAGTTATGCTTGCAAAACCAGTGCGAAATGTCTGCAGAGGCAGTACTTAATTGGCCAGACTTCAAACAGCGGGCTAGCATGGAAATCAGCATATATACTGTTAGTAGTCTTTGAATCAGAATCAAGGCCATATTAACCAAACTTCTCAGAATCCTCCTCCAAATCCTTCAAACAAGTGTCACTAAATAATCATTCTACAGATATTTATTGAGTCCCTAATACTGCATAAAATACCCTCTCTATGTATTAGTAATACCCAGTAAACAATACAGATATTGAAAGTTATCTGTTAGTGAAAGAGACAGATATAAACGGGCCATAGGCAATTATCTATTTACTGACAATTGTCCTGAGTATCAAAGCAGAGACACAGGTTGCTATGACAGGGTATTAAAAGAGAACTTGACGCAGTTGTGGCAGCAGGGAGAGAAGTCTTCCTTGAGTCCTTCTTCCTGAAAGTGCTTATTCTTCATTTCTCATATGTCATACTTTCTAGGCCCTATTTCTGTTTCCATGCTTAAATACCACTCCATAATTAATTGCAATATTACACTTCTGTTCCATATTCCATTAACTCATCTAGCACTATGTAATTTCCCTTGGCTTTGCAGTACTAGTTTCTTCCGAGTATTCAATAGAGCAGTAGTTCTCACCTGGAGCAAGACCACCCTAGTGGCAATTTAGAAATTTGTGGAGGTCATTTTATGGATTTCACAATGATTTGGAAGGTGTTCCTGGCATTAATGGGTGAGGGCCAAGAATCCCGGGCATCTGACCAGGTGTGGAACCATCCTGCCCTGGGAAACTGACTCTCTCCATCCCTCATGTCTTTCCAATGTCCCATTGGTCATTCATCTACATGAACAGCCTCCTTATACTTATCTCATGTTTTACATGTAAACACAAAGCCTTTTGCATGATTTTCATGCAAACTGAATTTTACAGAAATTAAACAATAGCATAAATTGAAGTAAAACTATACTTTATTTAGTTTGAAACTTTCCCAAAAATTGTTAACCATTTTAGAAAGTTCTTTCACCTGTATTTGAGTCCTGATACTACACGCCTACCCCATTCTGCTTTTCCAGCTGACACATTTATGAAGATTCTGCAGATGAGCATAAGCATCTGACCACTTCATGATGACTTCTAGTATCATCAAGTCAAAGTATTTACTTATTGAAAACCATATTACTTCATAAAAAATACCTGCCTTGAGTTTCTCCTTTATATTAAAGTCAGGGATTTTTTTTTTAATTGGGGGGTATTATGTTTTCTGTGAATTTCATGTCAGAGTAGTAAAGAAGATATTATGTGATACTTTTCTTAAAAAAGACATTGGTTCTGATGGGGAGAATCACAGTAGTAGTGCCTACTAGTCAAGGAAGCCTGCAAAAAGCCACTTCTGGCTTAAAAACCTGCCCCCACATGTTGTCTGTGTGACCATGGGCAAGTTCTTAAACTCATTCCACTGTCTTCATTTATATAATGAGACACCATTAGGACCTATCTCAAGGAAACGTTAAGGAAACAGGAGGATATGAGAGCTAGGGTGACACCATTTTAAAATAACTTCATCCTTGCCAGTCACAACCCATGGTCATAACATGTTTAGAGTTGAGGAAATGGCATAAAGATACCTGCAAGTACATACTCCCACAATAATGGATAGTCAGGGTGTCCTGATACCTATAACAATACATGCTTTCAAGATAATTATAGTTATGCTTTGATGTGCTTACACACTAAAATGCCAAGGATATTGTATTAGTCCATTCTCATGCTGCTATGAAGAAACACCCAAGACTGGGTTATTTATAAAGAAAAGAGGTTTAATTGATTCACAGTTTCTCATGGCTGGGGAGGCCTCAGGAAACTTACAATCATGGCAGAAAGCACCTCTTCACAGGGCAGCAGGAGAGAGAATGAGTGCCGAGTCCCTTATAAAACCATCAGATCTCAGGAGAACTCACTCACTAGCAAGAGAACAGCATGGGACACTGCCCCCATGATTCAATTATCTCCACCTGGTCCCACCCTTGACATGTGAGAATTATTACAATTCAAGGTGAGATTTGGGTGGGGACACAGAGCCAAACCACATCAGATAGTTTTCTTTAAATCAGCAAAACAATAAATTTCATCATGCAGTCAGCCCACCCACACGTATACATAGCAGAGCTTTTATATAGATAATACCCCTATATAAGAAAACCTTAAAGATGAGGCATTCCTCCTCTCGCTTTTTGAAGAATGCCCTATGCTGTATCTGAGTAGCTTTCAATAAACCATCCCTTCTCACTGCACTCTGTGACTCACCTTAAATTCCTTTCTGCGCGAGATCTAAGAACTTCTCTTCAGGTCTGAATCAGGACTCCTTTTCCAGCAACAGAACCACTGTCATTTCTGCAATGATTAACTGAGATAATATTCAGGAAATGTGAGGCACAATACCAAGAACATCATAAAAACTCATTAAATGTAATTTTATTATTTTTTCAGTTAAAGTGGCAACTGATCATGGTTTAGCGATGATTTTCCTAGTTAGGTGAAGTCTACTTTGCAGTATCTATCTTTTGAATGTTAAATTCACATAATATGATTGAGAGTATGTATGGTATGTGCACTTTAAAAAACAGTTTTTGATTGCTGTTGTTTTAGTGTTTTATCCTTCAGTATAAAAGCCATCTTGCTTCTACTCTCTGAATCCAGCTATATCCTGCTCCATCATCTAAATTTACATTCTTGCTGCATCAACCTACAATCAGAGAGAATAAGAAAATGTATTTAGTGACCTGAACTGATAAGTGAAAGTGAAGACCTTGCCTTGGATGGGTAAATATTCTTAGCCCCACTTCCTCTGTAACCACCAGACCACATCGATCAGAACCAGGTAGGTTGTTATCCAAATGAAATAGTTTCCTAAATTGGGTTGAGAAAAAGATTTATATTATCTCTGAATAAACTATTAAGCATTTTATGATTCTGAATAATTCATCTATTCAACAAATATTTATTTGGCTCATACTTTGAACAAAGAGATGTGTTGGGAGCTGGAGTGAATAATGAACTTCAACAAATATGCATTGTCATGATAGGCTCTGGGCCAGGTGCTTGTGGTACAGAGGAATAAGATATGGGCAGTACCTCAAAAATCTGAATCTATATTAAATAAACCAGCAGAATTTGAAATGTAAACTCTCTTATTACATCTCAAGGAAAGTTTGTAAGATGAGATGTAAATTAATTATTGAATACCCACCATGTCTAGAGTACTACAGTACACTACACTGTCATATAAACCAACATTCATTTTCCTTTCATCCTTATACCCAGCCTGTAAGATAGGCATTATATTCATTTTTTTGTTCATGAGGAAATCAACTTAGTAAGATTATGTAAGTTTTTCAAACTAGGAATAACAACAGCTAGCTTTTATTGATACAAATACTGTGCATTACATTTTTTTTAGTCTTCATAAAAATCCTAGATGGTATTATTATTGCTCATATTCTATAATGTGGAAACAGAGGGTGAGGGAGGCTAAGTGAATGTTGCAATTTCACACAACTAGCTCTGGAACCAACATAGAGCCCCAGCCATCTGTCAACAAGAGTTGGGACCCCCAACCACTGCATGACAACTCTTTATAGTCCTGGCAGATTGAGTAGGAGAGTCAGAATGAGAACCCCAGCCTGACTGCAGACTTCCAAGCTCTTCCTTCTAGACTCTGCTTCCTCTAGCACTGGTCCATGACGAGTGACCATGGATGAGCTGTAGACTTTTTGAACCCTAATGAGATGAAACTGAAAAACAATTGCATGGATAGACTATTTTCAGGCAGGCCAATGTACCTACAACCAGAAAGCTAGATAAAATACAACACTCACATTTTTTTAAAGCATCCAAGATTTGCAGAAGTAAAGGGGAATTAATTAAAGGATTAAAATTCTAGAGAGAAGAGAGCCTCTCAGAGGTAAGCTGAAGGTCTGAGCCTCTTTTTCCAGGCTTTTTACCAATCCCAGATGGATAGGGCTGGAGACGGAAATGGAATTAAACTATGCTGTGGGGCAGAGAAAATGGCAAACAATTGGCAGTTGCTCCAGGGTTGGAACAATAAGACCAGAAACTTTAGGGGCCTCAAACACGTGGCCAGTTTACCATCCAAGACTTCACTAATCCTGAAGTTGCATGAAGCAAGAACTTAAAAACCGAAGTCTAAAGTCTCTGATCAGCAGAGCTGACATTCTTATTGTCTCTCTCGGAGTAGAGGAAACAAAAACTTACCATGCTTTGAATTAAAGCCCAGGTGGGCCATGTCCTAGGAAAAGGGACAATCAGAAGCAGACTGAGTCTCATTAGAATGTAACCCAGCCTCCGCAGACCTAAATTTGGAGAAGTAAACTAAATAGGACTTCCTAACAATTTTAAGCTAAAAATTGTAGCCCATATTTGTATAAATTTAGACTCAAAGTATGAACTATCTAAAAAAAATAGTATTTTTTTCTCTTTGCTGAACCTACTGCTTCAAGTTATAGATCCTCAAAATGAAACATAAACAATCAGAAATGAGCAATAAACTTTCATAACAGCTGATTTTTTTACAGCATTCTTCCAAATGCCAAAACTTAATGCAGGGCAGTTAGTTCTTTCTGCAGAGCTAGGTGTTTGCTCATTTTCAGACTTCTGGAAGTGGCATTTCCGACATCATTTAATGGTTTACTGAAAATATTTACTTGGAGTATGAGTTTCATCAGACACCTCTTTGTGGTCTTACTCCTTCATTTGTTCTTAAAAATGTGTCAATGTCTTAATAATAGAATTTAAGTGAAAACTTAAACATTATAGCCAACAGAGGTTCTTAACTGATTGTAAAGTTGTATTGAAGTCAGGGGTGTTTCTTCCTAATTTGGAGTCAGCCAAGTTCAGACTCCAGACGCAGGGAAAATGCAGAACAGGACTATCAGTCTTCTTTGTTCAAAACAGATGACTCTGTAAGTATTTGCCTAGTTAAAAATAACAGCATTCCTTCCCCAAGTCATCAGCTGGACAGTCTAGCCTGCTCATATTTTTTTAACCCAGTCAGGGGAATACAGGTCAAAAGGCTATGTACTCTGAATTAAATTTTTTTCACAATAGGTTACACCAAAAAATTTGTCTACCTTTGATATTTTTCTTTAATGATTTTCCTTACTTCTCATTGTGGAAAACGTAACAAATTTACCTTAAATGGTTACAAAATACATCACTTTTACAAATTTTTCTTATTGTTAACAGAAAAGCTAACTAGTTTTCACCAAATTGTTATTCAGCTTTCTTTATGATAGTTTCTACTGATTTCAATAACAACAATCTTGTTTAACGAATTCAATCTTTTCACGGCTGTTTGCAAAAACTGTTAATTAACAATTAGTGTGTTGTTTCATTTACATAATACCCATTGTAAAATGGGCATGTCCTTTTATTTGATTCAGATAGAAACTTATCACATTATCACTTTTTTTCATTCTCTCCTGCCTACTCTTTATCCCATCTCAAGAATTTCATTTGAGTAAATAAATATATTTGGCATTTTAGGATAATGTATCAGTGGAATATCCCAGACTCCTACCTCTGTCCCATTAATCCATGCTCCCCTATAAGCACCAAAAACAAAAGAGAGAGAAACCAAAAAAGTTACATGAATTTGTAAAATAAATGTCAAAGCTCTTTCTTTTAAAATTCAGATATAATTTATTACTATTATAAAAGAGTGATAGTGAAAGAGTAGTTGGTAGCATGTTTTTGGCTATTAAAGCATTGTAAGTATGGAGGAGATATTTATATTGTAGCTGAGAAGTTTTCAGAGTCATCAAGAAGCCTGCATGTGGTGTTTTATATTTTAATAATTCATTAGATATTCTGATTTAATCAGATGTTAAGCTTACCCAACAGTACTTTACAGAGCTCTGGAAAAAAAAATACGTTGCTACACAATCCACAGCCCTATGGGGTTCCTATTACTTTCCATCTTAATGCCCAGGAGCTGCGATTCAAAAAGCAGCACTGGATGATATATGTCAATGTGGTTCCTGATCCCACAGATAAAGATTATGTGGTTGGTGCTGCATGTAAATAATCAGCACTGTTGATTGTGATCTTGACAATTTTGCACAGTTTGGGTCCTGGCTACCTGAGATCATCTTTCTCCCCCGGGTGCTTCACAATAGCCACAAAGGGCAATGGAAGGCTATAAACTTGGTCAAAGACACATGGAGCCACAGGGTGCTTTGAGGGTCACTGAAGGGCAAGTATGCTTTGTGCACCATTTGTACCCCCTCCTCTGTGATCACTGGTGGTGAACTGGGGCAAACTTCCTCTAATGATTCCCCAAAGGAGGATTTTTTTTCCATCAAGTTCATGCCCTTGACCTTCAGATCAGGCAATGAAATCAGAAATGTTCAATAGCAGCAAGGCTAGGAACATTTATGCTGCTCTAAATAGCCACAACATAGCATCTATCGTATGATTTCTGAGCTAATATTGCTAATATAGAATTTTTAAATTAACTTATTCACTCAATAAATTTTTAATTAGGACATAGAGGTGAGATGACCCTCCATCCAAGCAAGAACACAAGTCAGGCTTTCAACTTTCAATAGAAGGTTAAACTGGCCTAGTGCATTCTGATATCTGAACCATGTGAGTCTCCTTTCAAGCAGTAATGCCAGATATTTGCACTCTAGGATTTTTGCCAGAATTTAATTTGAACAGACTGCTCCATGGATTCTGTCAAAATACAACAGGGAGAAGCGATTTTTGAGCACGATGGTTTATCCATTCCTCTCTTTAGGTATTCTAAACTGTCTTCTTTATCAAAATAGATCTCCAGAAAGCTATTTACTTGGACTACATAGACTTAAACCACTGAAGACCTATCTTCACTGAATTTACATTTTATTGTTATGCATTTAGCAATTCCTTTAAGAAATATCTACCTGAGAAACATTCCTGCAACCTTATATTGTGGAATGAGGAATTGAAAGTATTAGAAATTAAAGGGAGTTCAGAGACCTTTATTTCAGGATCAGCAATATCCTCAAGCTGCCTGGGTAATATCTTTAAAATTCAGCTCTCAGATTAATAAGAGAACAAAGTACCTACATTAAGTAATGATTAAAGTAAATGAGGTAACATAGAGTTCTGACACAAAGTAGATGCTTAAAAGAGTTGAATCTACATTTTGTATGAAATCTGTTGCTACTATGTTATTCTCAGTTCTTCAAATAAGAAACCAACACCAAGAAAATATTTGTTTTGTTTTTTTTAAGAATCATTACACTTCTTTCTTAAAAATAAAGAGAAGTGTCCACATTATGTATTTTTAGACTTGGCTGACAGGGTATAGCTAAATTTTTTTTTTTTTTTTTAGAAGGAATCTCACTTCTTCTCCCAGGCTGGAGTGCAGTGGCATGATCTTGGCTCACTGCAACCTCTGCCTCCCAGGGTCAAGCAATTCTCCTGCCTCAGCCTCTCCAGCAGCTGGGATTACAGGCATGTGCCACCATACTCAGCTAATTTTTGTATTTTTAGTAGAGATGGGTTCCATCCTGTTGGCCAGGCTGGTCTCGATCTCCTGACCTCAGGTAATCCACCCACCTCAGCCTCCCAAAGTGCTGAGATTACAGGCGTGAGCCACCGTGCCCAACCGGTATAGCTAAAGTTAATACTTTAACAATGATATTTACCTTGTTGTTTTCCATTGTTCCACATGGTCTTTTAAATTTCTATTTCTTATTTCATCACCCTATCATGGCTTTAAAGGTTCAGGAAATATTCAGCTAGATTTAAATCAGCTCCCTCTGTCTTTTCCCACAGTGGCTTTTCTATATCTTCATCACTGTCCCCAAGACAACACTATGCTCTACACCACTCAAAAAAATGGCCATAAATCTGTACTCGATTCTTAGGGCTGCTATAACAAGGTAGCTTAAACTGGATGGCTTAAAACAACAGAATTTTATTGTCTCATGGTTCTAGAGGCTGGAAGTCTGAGAACAAGATAGCCACAGGCATGCTCCCTGAGAGACTGTGTGGAATCCTGTCTCACCTCTTCCTAGTTCCTGGTGGTGGCCGTCAATCCTTGGCATTCCTTGGCTTCCAGCTGCATGACTCCAGTCCCTGCCTCTATCATCACATGGCATTTTCCTCTTTTTATAAGGTTGTATTGGATTAGGTCCCACCGAAATGACCTTATGAAGTTACACCTAGACCCTATGTCTAAATTAGGTCACATTCATAGTTACCAGAAGTTTAGACTTTTATCAAATCTTTTTGGGGAACACAATTCAATCCATAACAGCTTCCCACTTCTAGGAGAAAACTGAGCCCAAGTATTAATTGCTTCCAAATGTCTTCATAATATGTTCACAATTATCCATTGTGACCCTAATTCTTATGCACTTCCCTGAGCATCAGGAGGCAGCTCTCTCCTCTTTCCCAGGGCTGCACCTTCCAGCTGACCTCTACGTTCCCCCCCCTCCCTGCTTCTCCAGTTACCCCTCACTCCATCTCTCTCAGAACTTCACTTCTCTTCCTTTTGAATTCCTTTACTCTAGAATAGATTCAAGTCTTCCCCATCTATTTAAAAAAAAAAAAACCTTTATTTTGAATTTATTTGCTATTTTGAATCTACTTTTGCTATTATTAAGTTGTTCTCCTTCCCTTTGGAATCCAAACTTATAGAAAACTTATGGGACCAAAACATACAGAACTCTCCATTTCTGCATTCTTGCTACACGTCCATTCCACAAGGAATCATTGAGTGAAAAGGCACTGCTTGACCCTGACACTGGAGCCACAGAGGTGAGGCGGGTGACACAGCTCCTGATTTCAAGAAGAGAAAACAGATATTAGACAATACCTTCGCTTCTCAGTAGAAAAGAAGCTCCAGAGCTGTGAGAGTGCATAAGAAGACAAGACTAGACTGGGAAATTGGAGGATTCCCTGCAGACGATGTGACATAAACTAATAGGCAAAGAGTTCCTAAGTATTAACTACACAAAGGGGAAGTGGGGAAAATGTTCCAAGCTAAATGATTAATGGATGGGAAGTCCCTGAAGTAGAAGGAAATGTGTTTTCAAGGAACTGGAAGAGGGCTGGTGTGACTTTACTGTAGAGACTCAGGGGGAAATGGTACAAAATGATGTTTGTGGGACACCCAGTGAGCCACACTGAGGATTTGTTCTTTACTTTTAGGGTGGTAGGAAAATGACTTTAAGCAGGGATGGGACCTGATCACACTGCTTTTAAAAGGATCTCCTGGCTGGGCGCAGTGGCTCATGCCTGTAATCCCAACACTTGAGGAGGCCGAGGTGAGTGGATCACTTGAGGTCAGGAGTTTAAGACCAGGCTGACCAACATGGTGAAACCCTGTCTCTACTAAAAATACAAAATTAGCCAGGCGTGGTGGCATGTGCCTGGAATCTCAGCTACTTGGGAGGCTGCGGCAGGAGGATCACTTGAATTCAGGAGGCGAAGGTTGCAGTGAGCCAGGATTGTACCATTGTATTCTGGGCTGGGCGACAAGAATGAAACTCTGTGTGGAAAAAAAAAAAAAAAAAGATCTCTCTGGCCGTTAAGTAGAGAATAAATTAGGAGAGAGGAGGACAGATGGGAAAGAACAGTTAAGACACTGTTATAGGAGTCCAGCAGAGAGACTCTATAACTGCATTCTAGGGATGACAGTGGAAATAGAGTCCTGGGCATGTTGAAGACATATTAAGAAGATAGAATCAATGTGACTTAGTAATTGGTTAGCTATCTGGGGTGAAGGATAACCACATGTCCAGCCTGACCCCCAGGTTTCTGGCTTGACAGTTGGATAAATGACAGTGTCATCCCCAAGACAGGAAACACTGATTTCAGTGGTAGGGTGTCAGAATCAGAAAAGCGATGAGTTCCAATTAGAATATGTTGACTTGAGGTAGCCATGAGATCAAGTGGAATTGCTAAGCAGGCAATCCTCAACTTTAGCAAAACTGCTTAATCCTGCCAATAACCGGCCATTTGCTGAGTGTAATATTCAGCTCATTTGAACTCTGCAGCATTTGACACTATTAGTCATTCCTTTCTTGAAGCAAGAGCTCTTAATCTTTGATTTCTATTTAAAACAGTGTTCTCCTCCAGTTCTCTTCCTTCTCTGGCTTGTCTTCCTCTGCCTAACCTTAAAAGATCTGACTTTCAAATAGGACCTGAAATGAATAAACCTCAATTCTCCAGTCCCAACATCCCTCAAGACATACATATGAGATTCCTCTACTTAGATTTTCCACAGGTAGCTCAGATTCAATAAGCCCAGCCCAAATTAATGTCTACCTCTCCTCTCTCACCAAATTATTTCTTCTCCCGAATATGCTTCCTCATTTTATAGCGTCACAAGACAAACGAGGAGGATGAGGAGTCATCAGGCACTCCCTCACCACCAAAATTCAATCTAATTCTTATATTAAATAATTCTACCCAGGGAAGTCCCTGCCCCACTCCTTCACCACCTGTTCTCTCACTTCTTGCATGGGCTATGGCAATCCTGGTCTAACAGAAGGACTGGTGACCTTTTTCTGTAAAGGGTCAGACAGCAAACATTTTAGGCTTTGAGAGCCATCCTGTTCCTGTGATTATTCAACTCCCCGGTTGCAGAGCTAAAGCAGTAATGGACAGGGAATGGGCATGGCTGTAATCCAACAACAAGACTTAATATATAGACATAGAGATTGAATTTCATATAATTTTTACATGGCATGAAATAGTTTTCTTCTTTTTTAATCCCCCCACTTAAAAATGCAAGCACCGTTCTTAGTTCACAGGCTGTACCACAACAGACAGCAGGCAAGGTTTGTCCTTCAGGTCATCGTTTACTAAACCCTAGTCTAACGGCGCTCTCTCCCTCCACATGGCAGCCAGAGAGCAAGTCTGAAGTATGGAACTCACCTTCTAAAAAACCTGACTCCTTCCTTTGTGAATACACTTATGAGACCGAAACACACATCTCTTCCACCAGGTGGCCCCAAACTTATTTTCTAAATTCATTCCGTACTACCTTTCTCCCTGCATACAATGTTCCCAGACTCCAAGCATTCTAAACTGCTGGCTGTTCCCTGAGCGCTCATGCTCTGTGCCTTTTTAGTTGGCTCCAAGCTCATTCACATTAGACCCAAGCTAACCTAGTCTGGTGCTTTTTGGTAGCTAATGATAGCCCCAGAAAACATTTGAAGTAGGTGAGAGTTACCTACTACCCCACAACCTGGCTTCTTGGTTATAATTAAAGTAAGACTCATACCAAATTCTTCCACAACAGACATTAATTAGCAAGCAGACATAAGAGTGAAACAGCATATTTAACTTGAACTTCAGTGCAGTTTGAGATTTTGTCCATAATACCTCACCAGAGGCATGTGAAACAACATTCTGGTAGCAGGATTCAGCTAACTGAATATATTGTGTATACTGAATATACTGTATTTACTCCAATTCTGGCAACCAAGAATCAGAGAATAAGCCCTTACACCCAGAACTGATTGAGGGTTACATCTGATATGCCATTCTTAAGAGTAAGAGACAGAGACCTTGCTAAATTTCTATACCTAATCATGCAAGATAGGAGTGTCTCAAAAATATATTCACCAAACTACATACCTTGAACACCACTAATATAACTACTGAAAGCCCATTTCTAATATCTTGAATGGCTAATTAGTGACTAATTAGCTAGCCACTAATTTCACCAATGAAAGTCGATATAACTAGCATGAAACTAATAATATACATGTATTTTAAGCCTATAGTAATGAAGAGAGATTAAAAATAGCTAAAGCTTTTTCTCTATACCCTTAGAGTATAGGCTTGTGACTAAATGGCAGTGTACATGCCCCTTAGGTGTGCATAATCCAAATTAGGGGTCACCAGTTGACCCCTAAAGTATAGGTTTTTTGTTTTTGTTTTTGTTTTGAGATGGAGTCTCACTTTGTCACCCAGGCTAGAGTGCAGTGGCACCATCTCGGCTCACTGCAACCTCCGCCTCCCGGGTTCAAGCAATTCTGCCTCAGCCTCCCGAGTAGCTGGGATTACAGGTGTGCACCACTGTGCCTGGCTAATTTTTGTATTTTTAGTAGAGATGGGGTTTCGCCATGTTTGCCAGGCTGGTCTTGAACTCCTGACCTCAGGTAATCCACCCGCCTCCACCTCCCAAAGTGCTGGGATTACAGGCGTGAGCCAGCATGTCAAGCCTATAGTTTTAAATATTATACTCTTCTCTTACATAACATGTGACATTTCCACCACCTGAATGTTCTTCTCCTTCTTCTTTACCTAGAGAAAGTCTATTACCTTTGTGTGTGTGTATGTGTGTGTTTGCATGTGTGTTGATTAGTACATTTTTAAAAATTTAATCATCTTTTAAGACCCAGTTAAAAGTTGCCTATTATTTTAATAAATTCCCAACAACTTCTGTACATTACTTGCGGCCTAAGAGTAATAAACTTATTTTTAACCATTTCATAGATAAAGAAACTGAGGCTCAGGAAGTTTAAGTGGTTACCCCAGGTTAGGTGACAGAGCCAGAATTTAAACCCAGGATGGTCATACTAGATCCTATTAGTGAACTTATGGGGAAATGCTGAACAAAACAAAAAAGACCTAATAAGTTCAATTTAAGACCTACCTTAAGAAACCGTGCTATACTTTGTATGACTATTTACTTGAGGATGATTAAACTGGGATAAAATATAAAGAATAATAAAAGTGTCTGACATGCCTACCTCAAAGCTATTCGGTTTTATTCCATAGGTTTGAGATGAAACTCGCAGTATTTTGTGTATTTTTAATTAGGTATATACCAAAATTCAGTAAAGCCCTTTTCCTGCAATAATCAAAAGACTCTGGTCTCTTACTACTTAAAATTAATACATTGATGACTTATATTAAGTAGCCTGGCATATATTGGGTACTTGATAAATATTTATTACATAGATGAGCTACATTGGTTTACCATCCATTTTAAAATCTGACTCAAAGCCAGGCTACCAGATGTAGATTCTAGCCAATGCTCAAGGAAATAATGTCTTGATATACATCTTATCATATTACTAGGGTAATGTGAAGATTCCCTCTTAGATACACTTAGTCAACAGTTATTGAACCCTCATAGGCACTGAGAAACAATGTAATTTTCCCACACAAGGCATCTATTTGGAGCATATAACTTATACATTTGGTTATTTAGATTTCTCAGGCACGCCATCCACATTCAGTGTAAGATAGAGGTGATCTGAAAAACCTACCATCATCTATTTAGTCATCTGGACAAAGTGAGTCAGGGGAGTTATAAAATGTCAGAATTCCCAGCCAGTATAGTAAAGCACAATCCAAGTTCACTTATGGCAAAAGGATTAGGACATCAGCATTTAAAGTAATTCTCTCCAGCTCATAAATAAGCTCAAGGATGTATGCACTTAACAAAAGACTCCAGAGCTCCTTACGCAGTGACCTAATGTAGGGCATGGGATTATCCTTATAAAAGGATCACCAAAGAGGCATGTGATAAATACAAAATTAAAAGCGTGAATACAGAAGTGATTGTAGAACTTCTTGGCCCTGCTGATAACAGCAAGGATTTCTTTGTTGGCCTTATGTTCTATGGATGACACTGGTTTTGATTAGGAAGCAATTGAGAACTCAATGCCTCTCACATTTTGTGCCTTAGTACTTCTCTATCTCTGCTGGGAGAGCAGCAGTAATAAGAAACAGGTTCATGCTCATCATAATGTACCATTTCTGACTCAGAAATGAATACTAACTTGAGACTATGAACAATGCTCTTCTACTGGAAGCCCAACACCACAGAGGGTCTTTCTAGAACGTGTGACAAAAATGACACATTTTGAAGAAGAAGAAAAAAATGTTAGAAACCAAATAATCCTAGAAGCTTGGAAGCGTTTCTTTTTTTACAAAGAACATCATGGGTTTTCCATGTTCTATCTTCAGTAGGATGATGACCAGGGTCATTTTTATAGTTGCCTAAGAAATATATTTTTCCTCTATCACTATATTGAAATAAAAACTTTCTGTAAGTTCACTTTCTGCTATTACCATGTTAATATCACAAACAACATTAGATATAATTCTTGGAATTCTAGAAACTGTAATCTGATTTTTTAACAAATAGGATATTCCAGGCACTATGGAAATTTCTGATACTTGACTCCAAAAGCTCCTTAATAAACAACTTGTTAACTTCAGTGTCAATGTTGAGGGGAAACTGTTGATAAGCTATTAAGGTTAAGTTTTGCAAGGGCTTCCACCTTAAGAGAGAAAAAATAATCAGAATTTCATTGAGAGTAGCCTCTATGCAGAGGTACTACTTAAGTGCCTTATTCAATTACAGTCTCAGTTCATGTGACTTTGGTACAAGCATAGTTGATATAGCACCCCCAGGCTTGTGAAAGTGAATTGAAAACATATGTCCAGATGTTGGGGATATTATCTTGTACATGATACTTAACTTTTCTATACCTCAGTTTCTTTAACTATAAAAACAGGGGTAATAATAGCACTACAACTTAGAGCTAGTGTGAGAAATAAATTAACTGATCCCTGCAAAGTGCTTGGAAGAGTTCCTGGCACATAATAAATGTATCACTTTTTAAAACATTTTTTTTCCGACTTTCAAGTGAAGTCCCTCTAATTCTTGAGAGAAACTGCTTTTAAGTTTCTCATTCTCGGAAAACATGCTGACAACTTCATGTCATTAAAGATATCCTCAAAACCGAAATACATGAAGTATTAGCCTGTGTTCACACTGCTACAAAGAACTGCCTGAGACTGGGTAATTTATAAAGAAAAGAGGTTTAATTGACTCATAGTTCCCCATGGCTGGGAGGCCTCAGGAAACTTACAATCATGGCGGAAGGCGAACGGGAAGCAAAGACCTTCTTCGTATTGTGGCTGGAAAGAGAGAGCTAGCAAGAACGGGGAAAACTGTCTCATAAAACCGTCAGATCTCTTGAGAACTCACTCACTATCACGAGAACAGCATGGCAGAAACTGTTCCCATGATCCAGTCACCTCCCACCAGGTCTCTCCCTCAACACCTGGGGATTACAATTCAGGATGAGATTTGGGTTGGGGACACAGCCAAACCATATCATTCCATCCCTGGCCCCTCCCAAATCTCATGTCCTTTATACATTTCAAAACACAATCATGCCTTCCCAACCATCCCCCAAAGTCTTAACTCATTCCAGCATTAACCCAAAAGTTCGAGTCCAAAGTTGCATCTGAGACAAAGCAAGTCCCTCCCACCTAGGAGCCTGTAATATCAAAAGCAAGTTAGTTACTTCTAAGACACAATGGGGTTTGCGGGCATTGGATAAATGTGCTCATTCCAAATGGGAGGAATTGGCCAAAACAAAGGGGCTACAGCCCCCATGTAAGTCCAAAATCCAGCTGGGCAGTCATTAAATCTTAGAGCTCCAAAGAGCTCTTACTCTCCTTTGACTCCATGTCTCACATCAAGGGCACACTGATGCAAAGGGCTGGCTTCCACAGCCTTGGGCAGCTCCACCCCTGTGGCTTTGAAGGTAACAACCCCACACCCCTTCCCTGGCCACTTTCACAGCTGGCAAGTGTCTGCGGCCTTTCCAGGCACACAGTGCAAGCTGTCAGTGGATCTACCATTCTGGGGTCTGGAAGACAGTGACCCTCTTCTCACAGCTCCATGAGGCAGTGTCCCAGTAGAGACTCTGTGTGGGAGCTCCACCCCACATTTCCCTTTGGCCCTGCCCTAGCAGGGGTTCTCCATGAGGGTCCTGCCCCTGCAGCAGACCTCTGCCGGGACATCCGGGCATTTCCATACATCCTCTGAAATCTAGGTGGAGGTTCCCAAATCTCAGGTCTTCTCTTCTGCACACCCACAGGCACAACACCACATGGAAGCTAACAAGACTTGGGGCTTGCACCCTCTGAAGTAATGGCCTGAGCTGTACGTTGGCCCCTTTTAGCCATGGCTGAGATGCCAGGCACCAAGTCTCAAGACTGCACAAAGCAGCAAGTCCCTGGGCCAAGCCCACAAAAACCATTTTTTCCTCATAGGCCTCCAGGCCTCTGAGGGGCAACCATGGGAGAGGCAACCATGAAGGCCTCTGACATGCCCTGGAGATATTTTCCCCATTGTCTTGGAGATTAACATTTGGCTCCTCATTACTTATGCAAATTTCTGCAGCTGGCTTGAATTTCTCCCCTGAAATAGAGTTTTTCTTTTCTACCACATTGTCAAGCTGCAAATTTTCCAAACTTTTATTCTCTGCTTCCCTTTTAAACATAGGTTTCAATTTCAGATCATCTCTCTTAAGTTCAAAGTTCCACAGATCTCTAGAGCAGGGGCAAAATGCCACCAATCTCTCTGCTAAGGCATACAATGAGTGACCTTTGCTCCAGTTCCAAATGAGTCCCTCATCTCCATCTGAGATCACCCCAGCCTGGACTTCATTGTCCATATCACTATCAACATTTTGGTCAAAGCCATTCAACAAGTCTCTAGGAAGTTCCAAACTTTCCTACATCTTCCTGTCTTCTTCTGAGACCTCTGAGACCTTCAAACTGTTCCAACCTCTGCCTGTTACTCAGTTTCAAAGTTGCTTCCACATTTTGGGTATCTTTATAGCAGTACCCCACTCTGTGTGGTACCAATTATTGTATTAATCTGTTTTTACACCGCTGTAAAGAACTGCTGGAGCCTGGGTAATTTATAAAAGAAAGAGGTTTAATTGACTCACAGTTCCTCATGGCTGGGGAGGCCTCAAGAAACTTACAATCATGGCAGAAGGCAAAGGGGAAGCAAAGACCTTCTTCCCATGCACAGGAAAGTGAGAGCTAGCAAGAGCAGGATGCATTAGTTCCTTTTCACGCTGCTGATAAAGACATACCCGAGACTGGACAATTTACAAAATAAAGAGGTTAATTTGGACTTATAGGCTGGGGAAGCCTCATAATCATGGCAGAAGGCAAGGAGGAGCAAGTCCTGTCTTATGTGGATGGCAGCAGGCAAAGAGAGAATGAGGAAGATGCAAAAGCAGAAACCCCTGATAAAACCACCAGATCTCCTGAGTCTTACTCACTACCACAAGAACAGTATGGAGGAAGCCACCCTTGTGGCTGAATTATCTCTCACCAGGTCCCTCCCACAACACATGAGAATTATGGGAGTACAATTCAAGATGAGATTTGGGTGGGGACACAGAGCCAAACAATATCACAGGGAAAACAGCCTTATAAAACCATCAGATCTCCTGAGAACTCACTCACTATCACAAGAACAGCATGGGGGAAACCTCACCCATGATCCAATCACCTCGCACCGGGTCCCTCCCTCAACAGGTGGGGATTATAGAGATTACAATTCAGGATGAGATTTGGGTAGAGACACAGCCAAACCATGTTACACAAAAAGATAATGCAATTTTCCAAAATAAAATGATGCATTTATCAGTTTGATGATTCCATTTTGAAATTTAAATCTTTGAAGAATGACTGGAGGTGTTGTAAGAGCTACCCATCAATTATCTCACAAAGGGATTTCTACAGTTCTGTTCTACTTATTTTAAGCAAAGTTGGAGTAGTGATGGACCTTATTAGCCTTGAAATTTGCACACAAAGAGTGCCAATGGCATAACAGATTTCTGTCTTTCGTTCTCTATTTGGTTTATTTTGGTGAAAAAATGAAAGTTTTTATTCTACCAACCACAGGAGATAGCTGATCAACTTAAAACCTGTAATATGCTACCAAGACAATCATTTATGTTTTTCACATAAGTAACGTGTATTCAGTATAGAAATTTTAAAAATATTTCCCATATCAATGTAAAATATAATTGTCTTAAGCCAAACCACACAGAAAGGTTCACTGTTAATATTTTGATGTGTAAAATTCCAGTCTTCATACCTGCCATGTATATATACATACATACACATGCATGCACACACACACAAACAAAATTGAGATTATACATGGCATACTATTTGATAATATACTCTCTTTACTTAATCTATCATGAGTCTTTTCCCACTCAGAGTGGGTGTCATAAACAGACAAATCTTCAGAGAAGTAATAAGAGGTGATCATGTCAAAGAAGTCGTAGGTTGTGGGGACTCTCTCAAGGGACTGGCAGGAATGGTCAGAGGAAGGCAGGACCTTGGGCAGGATGAGCAGAGATAGAAGACAAGATTGCAAGATAGAGCGAGAATCAGACATTGGGAAATAAGACAGGGACCCGATAACTGAAAATGGAACACAAAGTCAAGACTTGGCAAATCAAAACAAAGAACAAATACACAAACAAAAAAAAAAGAGTGCAGTTATTAATTAGACTTGAGACTAGTAACAAGATTGTCCTGATGTTTAGAGTAACAGATGCTCCTGTGGTGGTGAGCAAGCAAGGTCAGACTTACAGATGTGAGGATTTGGGGTTGGATTCCACACTTCAGCATTGAATTGCCTTTGGAGTGGAAGCAGTTATGGCAGCAGCAGCAGCATCTTTTTAACCTCTAGCTTAAAGTTATGGTGGTGAGAACTTGACCTCAAGAGTTTAGTGGTAGCCCCAACTTTCACTCTTCCAGCCTCTCCCAAGAACCTGTAAGTACCTAATCCCTTGTATTAATTTGCTTTCTGGGAAACTTCTAGTTTCCAGTCTGACAAGTAAATAACTTGGACCTTGTCACTCCTGTCCTTACAACAGGGAAAAACCTGAACAAACTTAAAATCAATGACCCTGCTTAGATCCATCAGAGAATTGACGTCATAGGACAAACTGCTGTCCCTAAACCTTCAGAGACACACAGTAGAATCAGAAATTCACAGCTTACTAGAAGCTGAAGCCAGTGTTGGTAGGAACAGTTAACACTGTAATGGAGGAATTACTAGAGGCTCAGCATACACTAGCTTTAAAAGTTACAAACTTCCAGGGTGTGCAGTCTTAGAGGGGCTCCCACTTTTATAAGTTTTACCTTTAGAAGTCCCAGCAGGCTCTCACTGTGAAGATCGCAGAACAATCCCTTTGTGCTTCCTGCAGGAGGAAGGAAAAGTAATCATTTTGAAATACACCTGGAGATTTAAATTTTCCTTAACAAAGCCTGCCTTTAAGTTAAACTATAGATGGTCCCCAACTTATGATGGTGTGACTTACAATTTTTTAACTTTGTGATGGTGTAAAACTATTGCAATTTCTACACAACATATAGTATTCAATAAATTATATGAAATATTCAATACTTTAATATAAAATAGACCTTGTGTTAGATGCTTTTGCCCAACTATAGGCGAATGTAAGCATTTTAAGCACATTTAAGATAGACAAGGCTAAGCTATGCTGTTTATTAGGTTAGGTATATTAATTGCATGTTCAACTTATGATATTTTCAACCTGCAATGGACTAGAGTTTTACCAAAGCCAAATTGATCTTGGGGAAAGGAAATACCCAACTCTAGCCTCCTGTGCCTTTCCTGTCTCATCTAAGGCAGGGGAGCAGAAACTGAGAAGTAAGTGAGAAGGTCATGGCCCAGGGACACAGCACACTAAGAAGCAGACCTAATGATAGGACGATAGAATGTTTTCCCTCTCTCTATACCTCACCAATATCAATAAGGCACCTCTATAACAGCAGAGGATTACAACTGAGAGAACTGCAAGCCTCACACCTTATTTCAGGAGTCTCTAGGAAAATGTAAATATGAGAAGAGAAACAAAAACAAGAACACTAATGAAAATATTACCCTCTAACACCTGTAGCTACAGCAAACAGTAAATCCAGCCCAATTTCTGGGCAAATCAACATAATACCTCACACTAAAGGCATATTTACCTCCATTCATTTTACCTGTTACATCATGTCCAATGTTCAGGAAAAATTACAAGGCATGCTAAACGGCAAAAAATACAGTCTATAGAGCCAAAACAAGCATCAGAACTAGACTCAGATATGGCAGACATTTTGGAATTATGAGACCAGAATTTAAATAAACTATGATTAATATGCTAAGGCATCTAATGGAAAAAGCAAACAACATGCAAGAACAGATGGTAATAAGATCAAAGAGATAGAAACTCTAAGAAAGACCTTAAAGGACATGCTAGAAATAAAAAACACTGTAACAGAAATGTAGATTGCCTTTAATGGGCTCATGAACAGACTAGACACAGCTAAGGAAAAAAATCAGCAAGCTTGAAGAAATGTCTATAGAAACTTCTAAAACCGAATCCATAGAGAAAAAAGAATGAAAAAGACAAAACAAAATAGCCAAGAACTGTGGCACAATTACAAAAGATTAACATACACATAATGGAAATGCCAGAAGGACAAGAAAAAGAAAAAGGAACAAAAGAGATAATAATGGCTGAGAACTTTTTTAAACTAATGACAAGACACCAAACCAAAAATTCAGGAACTTAAGAAAATGCTGAGCAGAATAAATACCAAAAGACCTACACCTAAGTATCTCATATTCAAAATGCAGAAAATCAAATCCTTTTCTGCTTGAAACCACCAAAGTTGTTTCTGTTTTCTGTACTGACCACCAATGTGACATTTCCACATAACTTCCTAAGTCTTGGTTTCTCACATAAAACAAGAGTAGTAATATCTGATTCAGAGAGATGTTATGGGAACTTTTTAACCTTTTTAACCTTTTTATTCTTTTGTAATAACAGCTTAAAACACAAACATGTTGTCCAGATGTACAAAAATATTTCCTTTCTTTATATCCTAATCTATAGGCTTTTTTCTATTTTAGAATTTTAAAAAATATTTTCTTACTTTTTAAACTTTTTTGTTGAAAACTAAGACACAAAGACACACATTAGCCTTAGCCTACACAGGATCAGAATCATCAATATCACTGTCTTCCACCTCCACATCTTGTCCCGCTGGAAGGTCTTTAGGGGGAATAACATGCATGGAGTGATCATCTCCTATGATAACAACGCCTTCTTCTGGATACTTTCTGAAGGACCTTTCTGAGGCTGTTTTACAAGTAACTTTTTAAAAAATAAGTAGTAAAGAGGCTAGGCACAGTGGCTCAGGCCTCACAGCACTTTGGGAGGCCAAGGCAGGTGGGTCACTTGAAGTCAGGAGTTCCAGACCAGCCTGGCCAACATGGTGAAACCCCATCTCTACTAAAAATACAAAAATTAGCCAGGCGTCATGGTGGGCACCTGTAATCCCAGCTACTCTGCAGGCTGAGGCACGAGAATCACTTGAACCCAGGAGGTGGAGGTTGCAGTGAGCCAAGATTGCACCACTGCACTCCAGCCTGGGCGATAGAGCAAGATGCAGTGTCCAAAAAAAAAAAAAAGTAGAAAAGGTACGCTCTAAAATAACTACTGAAAGTATACTGTAGCTGGGCGCAGTGGCTCAAGCCTATAATCCCAGCACTTGGGGAGGCCAAGGCGGGCGGATCACGAGGTCACGAGATTGAGGCCATCCTGGCTAACATGGTAAAACCCCATCTCTACTAAAAATACAAAAAATTAGCCAGGCATGGTGGCGGGCACCTGTAGTCCCAGCTACTCAGGAGGCTGAGGCAGGAGAATGGTGTGAACCCAGGAGGCGGAGCTTGCAGTTAGCCGAGATTGTGCCACTGCACTACAGCCTGGGCGACAGAGCGAGAATCCATCTCAAAAAAAAAAAAAGAAAGTATAGTGTAGTAATACATAAACCCATAACATAGTCATTTATTATTATTATCAAGTATTATGTACTGTACATAATTGTATGTTTTATACTTTTATATAACTGGCAGTGCAGTAGGTTGTTTACACCAGCATCACCACAAACATGTGAGTAATTTTTTGCTCTATGACATTAGGATGGCTATGATATCATTAAGCAATAGGAATTTTTCAACTCCATTACAATTTTATGGGACCACTGTCATATATGCCATCCATCACTGACCAAAAGCTTGTTGTGCAGCACGTATTTTTTTGCTCAATATGTATTAGCTACAGTTACATTATTCCAGATCATGAGGCACCATTTCAGGAATGCTTTCATTTTTCTGATGGCAAATTACTAGCCCTAGTCTGAGCCAAACCTCAGGAGGAGCTACATGGCCCCATGCTTGAGGGAGAACAGATATCAGGGTGGGAAGCCAGACAGAGCATTCTGTTAACCTCCTTGATCTCAGGGACATGCTTTTCCACTTAACTCGCCAGGGTGCTATCACTTCTTTGCCAACTTCCTGCACCATATGGCCCCATCCTATACCATGTGGCTTCTGTTCTTCCTATATGCTTGGACATTTTACTATCTTCTAATATCAGTTTTTCAACATTTTTGCAATTTCTATATTTTTAATTCACAGGAGCTAATCCAGTTTTGATTACATTTTCCCACAGGTATAGCACAGTACTTGGAACGTAGGTAATTTTATTAACCCAAAAGACTTCTCATGCCTTTGATTAGGATACTTGGAGTTGGTATTGTACACTGTCAGTGCATAACTATAACCCAAATAATTATTGGGGTCGCATGTGGCTCCTCTCTGCTGGATGTTGCATGTAGAGATTTACAGTCCAATCGCCAAGATAAATTAAAGAGGACTCCATTCTTCATTTGTGCTCTTGAAAAGCATTAGGAAGGGTTGAGATTCATAATACAAAGCAACATTTCCCACATCCTTTCCTCTCTCCAATCTTCTCACTTGCCACACCTATTCCTAAGCTTCTTATTCACCAACACCCTCCAATAAACTTCTCCAGGCTACCAAGTTTCACTTCCACCATCTTTATTCTCTCTGCTATAGCAAATCTCTTTACCATATTGGTTGAATTAACTTCTGTGTCTACATCCTGTCCATTTTCTTCCAGCCTAGCTAAGCAAATGTTTTCCTCTAATCCATTTCTCCTGATTCTGTAAACAAAACAAAACAGAATTGTTCTTGGATAAAACAAAACAAAACAACAATAACAAAAAACCTAAACAAGTGGAGATAAAAAGAAAAGTTCACATATATGTAAATCTTGATCCCATCTCGAAGTGTAGGGGTTCCTTCCTGCTACTGCAGATTGAGTACCCTGTCCAGTCACCTCCCAACTTTGATACTGGGAGGCTTCTACCTTGGGTCTCTGCCAGCTTGTGAGAAGCCAAGTAGGGCTCTGTGGCAGGAGGACACCTCCACCTCCTCCAGCCCTAAAGCCCAGGGCCCATCTATCTCTTGTTCCTCTGGACCCTATGCTGACCCTTTCTGGCTTTAGAAAAATAAAAACATCTTGCAAACGGGAAAAATAAAGCTCCTAGCTGCATATCTCCAATGTCCCTAAAATCAGAGAAAGTATTTATGATTTTTTCCCTCCTCCCCTAGAAGTGTAATTTTCTCTGGGAAATAAAAGAGGCAGAGGAGGACATTCGTGTCATCTAACTCTAACCCTCCTCATGTCTCCATCCAGAGTGTGACGGTGATGAACCAGCCAACGCCCCACTTCCCTGAGAGACTGAGTGTTTTTCTACCTCCCCAGCCTCTCCTACTGACGCATCTGGGTGTGATAGAAGGGCCAGTCCCGGACCCTTTATAAAAGCTCGCGGTAAGGAGGCTGTTGTTCCTAATTGTGTATGTAGAATGTAGGATACTGGACACCTTTCATCATTAGTTCTTGATCTTAGTAACAATTTGGGGACTAAAAGAAATATCATACCAGATATCTTCACACAAAACCAATTATTGGAACTGGAAAAGAGTTAATCCCAGTGTGTGATAAAAAACAAGGGGAAAAATTTCAAATGGTTCTACTTCCATTTCATGTTGACATTCTCTAACCCAGTGTACAATACCAATTCACTGTTTTAAAATAGGGCTGAGAACCATGGGTGGGATGTAAAATCAATTCATTCAAGCAATTGAGTGGGTCTTGGCCAGCATCATTTTAAATGACTAGAAGAGATGAGTGTATCTTGTGAAATTTTGTTTTGGGAAGCCGCTGCTCTAACTGGTTGGGCGGAGAAAGGAAATGGAAAACTATGCATACATGGTAGGAAATCTGCTATACTGAGAATGCCACAGAAGAATCCTAAGGGAAAAAGGCTGATTTTTTCCTCTAACCTAATGAGTGTCAGCTCCAGAGAACACAGAGAATATATAAAATACAAAGAAAGTCATGTTTTGGCATTTGAAATTTTTTTGAAGATGGAATACATTATTTCCTCAAGTTAATTTATGTCCCACCCAAGTCTGTAGACTTCCTGGAATTTTTATTAGAAATCTCAAATATAACAGTTTCCAAGTATCCCTACTGCCACTAATAAGTACTCCCTATTCCCAACTATTTCTGCTACAGAAGCTGCTCAACTAGATTCTGAAACAGAAGAAGTTTATCTTCTCAAGGTTAACAACTATAATTATAAAAGGACATTTTGGAAATTGCTTCTGTGGGGTAGAATTGTATCCAATTTAGCAACTATATATTCAGATAGAATGAAAAATTAAATGTTTGGCCTTTGTCACCAGTTCCTGGCACACAGCTCCTATAACCCTTGAAATCTCCAGAGTGATGTCTTTTGTATGCTAATGAGATGACTGGTGGCTGGGGGACCCTAGGTAGCTTCAGGAAAGCGGCAGGGAACCAGATAGCCCAAGGCGTGATTAGAGGGTTGGAACTCTCAGCTTCACCCTGACTCCCCAACTCCCACTCCCCACTCCTGCCTCTTGTGACCTGGGGAGGTAGGGGGATGGCTTGAGATTAAGCTAATCACCAGTGATCAATGATTTAATCAATCATGCCCATGGAATGAGATTTCCATAAAAATCCCTAAACAACAGGATTCAGAGACCTTCCAGGTTGGGGAACACATCCATGTTTTGAGAAAGTGGCACACCTCCAACTTTATAGGGACAGAAGCTCCTGTGCTTGGGACCGTTCCAGACTTTGGCCTATGCACCTCTTCATCTAGCTGTTCGTTTGCATCCTTTCTAATAAACTGGTAAATATAAACCAAGTGTTTCCCTGAGTTTTGTGAGCCATTCTAGCAAATTTTCAAGCCTGAAAGGGAGGTTGTGGGAAATCCCAGCTTTGTAGCCACATCAGACAGAAGCGTGGGTAACCTGGGGAGAAATTTGGCTCAATTCCAAATAAAGCATGGGCAAGTGGGAATTTATAGCCAAGGAGCAGGGAGGGAGTCACTGGATAGAAAATTGGTAAGTGGAAACGTCAGGCGTAAGGGGGATTCTGCCTAAATCCATCCATGAAGTATTCCTGCAGCAGGCAGGCCAGGGTGATCAGGCATCACCTGGAGGCTGGTAGAGAATGAAAAATTCGATCACCATCAAGGGTGATCTGGATATCGAGGGTGAGGGATTCTGGCTAAACAGATTTAGAAGGATTCTTGCCAAAACTGGGCTCTTAAGGACGTGCCCAAGGATGGAGCCTAGTTGAAAAGGAGCCTACTTGAAAAAGAGCCCAGAAGAGTCTAAGGTTTGGTCAAGGAGATAATCTGCCACTTACTCAGTGCAGTGTTTTGTACCTGGGGATATACCTGGTAAATTCATTTGTGCTCATTTCATATAGCCTAGAGATTCAAATAGGAAAGCACCTAGAGATTGGGCTATCTCTAGCATTTCATTTTCTCATAAAGTTTGGCAGTTCATGGAGACCATCCTGGGTCATACCATCAGAGAATCAATGTGACAGACTTAAACTGCCAGCTTTTGGCTTAAGGGGAAATTAGCCTGAATGACCAAAACAAAACAAGTAAAATTCTATTATTAAATACCCCAGATGGTGACTAAACTAAAGTGAAAGGAAGAAGAAAAGCCCCAGTCCCTGTTTTGCAGACAATAGGCATTAATTAAATACTTGTTGAATTATTTGAATGTGATTCTATTTCAGCCTCAGGCTGCCTGCGTTTAATTCCAGCCCCACTAAGTTACTAGTTTTATTGTTCTTGGGCACTACTTTCTTAACTTCTCTAAGTCATAACTCCACATCTGTAAGATCTTGCTGTGAAGAATAACTGAGATAACTCATGGAAAGGTCTTAGCACAATGCTTAACATACTTTAAGTACTTTATTTAGGTTATTCTATATAATAACAATTATTATTATTATTAGTCCTGTTCCTGAAAGTTCTTTCTAGTCAGATACTATCTGATTTCTCAAAGTAATACAACACTTTTTAGAATTATCTCTATATAGGCAAGGATTGATGTGAGAAAAAAAATAAATAAATAAAAATAAACAAAATTATTTCTGTATAGATGATATGGTTTGGCTCTGTGTTCCCACCCAAATCTCATCTTGAATTGTAACACCCATAATCACCACATGTTGAGGGAGGAACATGGTAGGAGGTGATTGGATCATGGGGACAGTTTCTCCTATGCTGTTCTTGTGATAGTGAGTGAGTTCTATGAGATCTGGTAGTTTTATAAGGCACTTTTCCCTGTTCTTGCTCCTTCTCTCTCTCCTGCTGAAAAGGTCCTTTCTTCACCTTCACCTTTCACCATGATTGTAAGTTTCCTGAGGCCTCCCTAGCCATGTGGAACTGTGAGTCAATTAAACCTCCTTTGTTTATAAATTACTCAGTCTTGGGCAGTATCTTTATAGCAGTGTGAAAACAGATTAATACAGTAAATTGATACCTCAGAGAGTGGGGTACTGCTATAAAGATACGTGAAAATGTGGACGCGACTTTGGAACTGGTCATGGGCAGAGATTGGAACAGTTTGGAGAGCTCAGAAGAAGACAGAAAGATGTGGGAAAGTTTGGAACCTCATAGAGACTTATTGAATAGCTTTGACCAAAATGTTGATAGTGATATGGACAGTGAAGTCCAGGCTGAAGTGGTCTCAGGTGGAGATGAGGAACTTCTTTGGAACTGAAGCAAAGGTCACTCTTGTTATTCTTTAGCAAAGAGACTGGTGGCATTTTGCCCCTGCCCTAGAGATCTGTGGAAATTTGAACTTGAGAGAGATGATCTGAAATTGGAACTTACATTTAAAAAGGAAGCAGAGCATAAAAGTTTGGAAAATTTGCAGCCTAATGATGCAGTAGAAAAGAAAAACCCATTTTCAGGGGAGAAATTCAAGCCAGCTACAGAAATTTGCATAAGTAACAAGGAGCCAAATGTTAATCACCAAGACATTGGGGTAATATCTCCAGGGCATGTCAGAAATCTTTGCAGCAGCTCCTCCCATCACAGCCCTGGAGACCTAGGAGGGAAAAATGGTTTCCTGGACCTGGTCCAGGGCCCTCCTGCTGTGCACAGCCTTGGGACTTGGTGCCCTGCATCCCAGCTGCATCAGCAGTGGCAAAAGGGAGCCAAGATACAGCTCAGGCCATTGCTTCAGAGGGTGCAAGCCCCAAACCTTGGCAGCTTTCATGTGGTGTTGGGCCTGCATGTACACAGAAGTCAAGAATTGAGATTTGGAAACTTCTGCCTAGATTTCAGAGGATGTATAGAAATGTCTGGATGTCCAAGCAGAAGTTTGCTGAGAGGTGAAGCCCTCATGGAGAACCTTTGCCAGGGCAATGCAGAAAGGAAATGTGGGTTTGGAGCCCCCACACAGAGTGCCCACTGGGGCACTGCCTAATAGAGCTGTGAGAAGAGGGCCACCATCCTCCAGACCCCAGAATGGTATATTCACTGACAGCTTGCACCATGCATCTGGAAAAGCCACAGACACTCAACACCAGCCAGTGAAAGCAGCCAGGAGAGGACTGTATCCTGCAAAGCCACAGGGTCACAGCTGCCCAAGGCTGTGGGAGCCCACTTCTTACATCAGCATGACGTGGATGTGAGACATGGAGTCAAAGGAGATTATTTAGGAGCTTTAAGATTTACTGACTACTTTGCTGGATTTCAGACTTGCATGGAGTCTGTAGCCCCTTTGGTTTGACCAATTTCTCCCACTTGGAATGGGAGCATTTATCCAATGCCTATATCCCCATTGTATCTTGGAAGTAACTAACTTGATTTGATTTAACAAGCTCATAGGCAGAAGTGCTCTGCCTTGTCTCAGAGGAGACTTTGGACTTGTACTTTTGGATTAATGCTGGGATGAGTTAAGACTTTGGGGGACTGTTGGGAAGGCATGATTGGTTTTGAAATGTATAAAGGACATGAGATTTGGGTGGCACCAGGGGCAGAATGATATGGTTTGGCTCTGTGTCCCCACCCAAATCTCATCTTGAATTGTAGTTCCCATAATCACTACATGTTGAGGGGGAAACCTGGTGGGAAGTGGTGACTGGATCACGGAGGTGGTTTCCTCCATGCTGTTCTCATGATAGTGAGTGAGTTCTCATGAGATCTGATGGTTTTATAAGGCAGTTTTCCCTGCTCTTGCTCCTTCTTTTTCTCTCCTGTCACAATGTGAAGAAGGTCTTTGCTTCCTCTTTGCCTTCTGTCATCACTGTAAGTTTCCTGAGGCCTTCCCAGCCATGTGGAACTGTGACTCAATTAAACCTCCTTTGTTTATCAATATATATATATCTCAGAACATCTCCTTTGGTATACATATATATGCACATATATATATACACACAAGCATACACACACACACACACATATATATTGGTGTATATGTATATATATATCTGAGATATAATATAATCTTGATTTAAAACCAGGTTAGAATATTTAGAAAAAAAGACAATTCTAGGTCCTTTTCAACTATCTAGGCATATTTTTAAAAATATTTTTATTTTTGTGTGTTTTAAATTTTTATATTTTAAATTAATATTAGTTTTTAATTGATAAATAATTGTATACATTAATGGATTAATGGCATACAAGGAGATGTTCTGAGATATATATATACACTATCTCATATATGTATATATCTATATATCTCATATATGTGTATATATGTATACATATATCTCATATATGTGCATATATATACGTATATATCTCATATATGTATATACATCTCCTATATGTGATATATATGTATACATATATCTCATATATGTGCATATATGTATACATTTATATCTCATATATGTGTGTGTATATATATATCTGAGAACATCTCCTCGTATGCCATTAATCCATTAAAGTATACAATTGATTTATCAATTAAAAACTAACATTAATTTAAAATATAAAAATTTAAAACACACAAAAATAAAAATGTTTTTATAAATATGCCTGGATAGGTGAACTGGAACTAGAATTATCTTTTTTTCTAAATATTCTTACCTAATTTTAGTTTAGATTACATTAACCTGACTAAATGAACTGGGCAGATTTCATATCCCTTTTCTACTTTTTTAAAGACCTCGTATAACATACTAAACAACTGTTCCTTAAAAGTTGAATAGAACTCAAGCTGGGCATGGTGGCACATTCCTGGAATCCCAGCCACTTGGGAAATGAGGTGAGAGGATCACTTGAGGCCAGGAGTTCAAGATCAGCCTGGGCAATATAGTGAGAACCTGTCTTTAAAAAAAAAAAAAAAAAAAAAAAAGATAAGTTTAATAGAATTTAGTTGTAAACCTGCTGAGGTGATGATGATTTTTAGGAAAGAAAGGGCTTTGACTATTATTTCAATTTCTGTAAAACTTCTTCTTTCTGACATCAATTCTGGAATTTTATATTTTTATAAATTTATTCATTTAATCAACAATGTATATTTCTCTTTCTATTTTTACTATAAATTTTAAAATATTCATTATCTCTCATTTTTAATTTGTGTTTTGTTATTGGCACCTTCTCTTGGTTTTATTAATCTTTTTCAATAAATTGATTTTGGCTTTTGATATGGTTTGGCTGTGTCCCCACCCAAATCTCATCTTGAATTGTAGCTCTCATAATTCCCACATATTGCAGGAGGGACCCAGTGGGAAGTAATTGAATCATGGAGGCTTTTTCCCCAATACTGTTTTCGTGGTTGTGAATAAGTCTCATGAGATCTGATGGTTTTATAAGGGGTTTACCCTTTTGCTTGGCTCTCATTTCTCTCTTGTCTGCCACCACGTAAGATGTGCCTTTCACCTTCCGCCAAGATTGTGAGGCCTCCACAGACATGTGGAAATGTGAGTTCATTAAACCTCTTTTTCTTTGTAAATTACCCAGTCTTGGGTAGGTCTTTATCAGCAGTGTGAAAACAGACTAATACAGCTTTAAAATAAACAAAGTGTTTCTATAGCCTGGGGAAAGAGGAAATGGTCTACGTTTTTAAAGTATTTTTAGGCCGGGCGCGGTGGCTCACGCCTGTAATCCCAGCACTTTGGGAGGCCGAGGCGGGCGGATCACGAGGTCAGGAGATCGAGACCATCCTGGCTAACACGGTGAAACCCCGTCTCTACTAAAAATGCAAAAAATTAGCCGGGCGTGGTGGCGGGCGCCTGTAGTCCCAGCTGCTCGGGAGGCTGAGGCAGGAGAATGGCGTGAACCCGGGAGGCGGAGCTTGCAGTGAGCCGAGATCGTGCCACTGCACTCCAGCCTGGGCGACAGAGCGAGACTCCGTCTCAAAAAAAAAAAAAAAAAAAAAAAACAAATAAAGTATTTTTAAATGTTGGTTTGTTATTTCTTTTGTTTATGCCCAGTACTCAGAATGGCTTTTTTATTTTATTTTATTTTATTTTATTTTATTTTTTTAGCGATGGGGTCTCTCTATGTTGCCCAGAATAGAGTACAGTGGCTATTCACAGGTAGGATCAGAGCATACTACAGCCTGAAACTCCTGGGCTCAAGCAGTCCTGCTGTCTCAGCCTCCCAGTAGCTAAGACTACGGGAGCCAGGTCACTGTGCCTGGCTCAGAATGACATAATTTTAGAAGGAAGTGAACTTAACATTTATTTTCTTATTTTCTCCATTTTTCCCCAGCTCTGTAACACTTACTTTCATCACAATTAGAATGATTTGCTCTGCCTTTTCTGTAGGCAGAAATTTAAATCTAAATGAGATTCTGAAGTGGGAAATAATATTCACAAGCAAGTACTGTCAAAGCTTATGCCAGATGCTACTCTGTTAATTTTTAGAGCATTAATTTCAGCATTGTTATATCCTAATATTAGCTGACACCACAAAGACTCAAATGTATCAAGGCTCTTTTTGCTGCTCACTCGTGGTTCTGCCTGCCTTTCTGCATCTAGTACTAATTCTCTTCTGAGACAGAAAATGGCTAGGTAGTCATTTGTTCAGTATCAGACCTTAGTTTCCTCATCTGTAAAGTAAAGATACTAACAGTAACTTCTTAGCACAGAGCCTGGCACATCAGAAAGAGCTTGATCATTACTATTAGCTATCATGACTTTTATTATCATTGTTATTATTTTTGAGAAAGAGTCTCACTCTGTCACCCAAGTTGGAGTGCAGTGGCTGATCTCGGCTCACTGCAACCTCCATCTCCCAGTTTCAAGCAATTCTCATGTCTCAGCCTCCTGAGCAGCTGGGATTACAAGTGCGCACCACCACACCCAGCTAATTTTTGTATTTTTTAGTGGAGATGGGGTTTCACTATGTTGGTCAGGCTGGTCTCAAACTCCTGACCTCAAGAGATCCTCCTGCCTCAGCCTCCCAAAGTGCTGGGATTACAGGCATAAGCCACCACAGCCAGGCCTGTTATCATTATTTTTAACAAGCTCCAGTCTTCTCCTTGATATATTTTTTTCCAAAGACCATAATTATACCCTTGCTTTTTGTTTTCCCTCTTAGATCTTCCCTAAATTTGCCCATCTAGACAGCCGTCCACAAATCTATATCTACAGATTGGACCAAATTATTCCTCTAAAGGACTAATATCTTCTTTTCTTTTTTACTCACTACAGAAGCTAGCAAAAATGTTAGCAAAGCTTTTAAAATAATTTCATTTTATTTAAATTGCATCAAAGCCACAGAATAATTTCTCAGAAGTTGTTTTTTTCCTTTCTTGTGTGAATTTTTTAAAAGCATGCTAGAATAATGTAGACTCTCTCTCCACTGGAAATTTTTTTAAAATGGAGAGTGAAAATCAGAGTCAGCTAAAGAGTAAATGCAAAAGTGCTTGGCCCTAGCTTAAGGACACCTGTAAAGCGGGGAGGTGGGGCTTAAAACAGAAGGGCTTCCAAGAAATGATTTCCTTTGTGCTCAGTGATTCTGGAAACACTATAACTGTTATTTGGAAGTGATTCAGGACTTTAAAAATTTGTTTTGAAAGTGTATAGCAAACAAAAATCAACAATTTATGTTTCCAAGTTTGAATGAAATAAATTTGAATTCATAACAATATTTATTCAAAATCTATGACATAGAGAAAATATTTGCTTTAATAATGCAGCTGTTCATTTATAGTGTGTGATGGATGTCAACTTATTTTAAAATTTTGCATCCTGTCAAAATCACTTAGAATCACAGGTCTAGAGTAATAAATTTTGAGGGAAGATCCTACTATTAAATGGCAGCAAATTTGTGAAACCCCTGTCAGGGAGTTCAATAGAATCAGTTCAGGAGAAGCAGCACAGCCATCCCAGTAAAGGCCAGCCCTTCACCCTTCACACCCCAGACTCCTGCTAGCAGACCCTGTGTTGCTGTCTCCGCAGGGCAGGCTTGCACTTCTGCAAAGTCAAACAAACCTGTAAGTTTTTGGCAATAGTGGTGGCTAAGACATTAGGCCTCGATCTATATGCTGTCTCAGTTATCTACTATCTACTGTGACTTTAGACAAGTTACCTTTCAATACATTTCACATACTCACTCATTTATTCATTCATTCAATAAATATTTTTGAGCGCCTACACTGTGCCAGCGACAATGTTGTACACTGAGTATATAATCAATGGTTTATAGAAACAAGTGTGTTCTTTGTGGCAGACACCATAGGTTCGCTGACTAATGCCCATTATACACCCCCTTTGCCACTACTATTCCACAACTAACTGCTTGACATGACTTAACTTCCCTGAGTCATGTTTCTCATCTGTAGAATGGCTGGGTTGGGCTATATTTACTCTATGGTCTCATCCAGCTCTGCGACGATGTCTGCCTGAATTCTGCGTGTTGTTAAGATCTTACCTTGCGCAAGCACTAAATATAACTGAGCTAGCAGGGGTGGCGGTAAGAATACGGTGGTGGCGGGGGGTGGAATATAAAGCATGAAAGCAGACTAAGGCCTACCAATGGTACAGGAGGAGTAGGCATTGTCTACATAGCATGTCAATAGGAGAACTACAAATTTTCTCCACCCCAAATATCTCTCCTACCAAAGCTTCTGTCAATGGAGGGGGCATAGAACCTGGGAAATCACATCATGTTCTTTCCAACCACCAAAAATTTTACACCCATAAAGCTAGGCTAAAACAAATATCAAGGGCAGAAAGAGATCACAAATGAGGGAGGATGTCATCTGTCCTGAGGAAGGAGGGAAAGCAGTATACAATTTGCCCTGGTAATGAACTGCACATAATACCAACAGCATGTTATATAATTTGCCCTGGTAATGAACTGCACATAATACTGACAGCATGTTATATAATTTGCCTTGGTAATGGACTGCACATAATACTGACAGCATGTTGTAAAGAAAATTTGCTATGGAATGTGTAGATTTTGCTATTTGACTGTGGTGGTTTTTGCATTACTTTGGTCATCCTGTCGAATTCTTTAACAGCTAGTTCACACCCATCTCCCTCTGAAAGGCCGCCTGAACTCCTGACTTCGTGCAGGAAAGAAGACAGAGCTTTAGGAGGACTTAGGGACCACAGGAAAAGGCCTTAAGCAGCGAGGAAGGAACATTCAAGCCAGCTCTCTTGTCCTTTTCTTGTCCTACATTTTGATAAATCAATGTAGCTAATAAAGATCCTCCCAAGTAGAGGAGAATAAAGAAAATCTTTGAAATGGGATTTTGGGAAGGAGGTTATGCAGGGACAATTGGAGTTAGGAAAAAAAGGCTGCATACATTATCTGGATTCATGTTGCTCTAGTGTTCGTTTCCTTTTGTTATTCCTCATTTGGGGTAAAATTTTGCTTAACTAAACAGTTAAGCAAATCTCAGCTTATCTCAGCTGAACTATAGGGTGTGAAGAGAAGGTTCATGTATCAGTTAAGGCTCCATCAGAGGAACAAAACAGTCAGAAGGATATATATATAGAGGGAGAGAGAGAGAAAGAGATATATTATAAGGATTTGACCTTAGACAATTGTGGGATCTGATTAACCAGTCTATGTGAAGCTGTTGGCTTTGCATTTGGTGCTGGATCCTGAAGTAAGCAGGACAGAAAGCTGGATGGGGAAGATTGATGTGAAGTGAAGGAGAACAAAGACAAGCTGGAACTCACAGAGACTGACCAGAGCTGTGTTGGTTTCTCACTGCCTCCAAGCCTTCCATTTTGATGATGCAGTATCCTACAGAAGTTGGTGCCCTTTATCACAGAGTTCAATATGCACGTGGTCCAGGAGTCAGAGAAACTGCATGAGGATCCAGCGGGAACTAAAGGAGCTGCAGCCTTGGCTGTATGCCCAGCCAAGAAAATGAGCCAGAAGATAAATAATATGCATGAGCAGGAGAGCACCTGGTGCCTCTGGATTGGCCTTCCAGACATAAAAAGAATACAGCTAGCTACTTCCTCAACTTTCAAATCTCATGCAAATGATCTTTTATGGGCCCCTAACTCAGAAGTATGCAAGGAAGTGACTTCTGGAAAATACAATCCCAGCTTAGCTAGGCTGACACAATACAAATCCACCACAAATAATTTTTTCCACACTTGTACTTATTAAGTGAGGAAGTAGTGCTCTAGGACCATCACAATAACAGCAATAATCATTAGGTGATTCCAAGGGGATAATAATACAAGACCTGGGCAGCATAGTCTTGCTGTCCCTCCCCTCCAGAAAATTCCACTTACAGTGCAAACTCATTTACTTGTAATATGGATGGAAGTATTTCCTTAAATATATGCACAACCATGGGTATTCTTCAGTATGAGCTAAGAGAACCATCCCCTTAACTTTTTTCCCCATCTCCTGCCTCCCTGTTTCATTACTCAGATACCTGAAAAGTCCTGGGTGAAGGACTGTCTTCCCAGTTCACTATACCTGAAGAGTAGCTCTAACTCTACCAGTCTAACAATGTACACATTTATCATTCCTACCAATAAAATTAAGCCACTTCTAAAAAAATTGCAGTGCTTAATTATACAAAAAATGTTTTCAATAATAAGATGCTAAAATTAAAAATTAATATACTTCTGCTTCTTGTTAGGGTATAGAAAGTCTCAAATGACTACTGTTTTCACACTAACAAGAACAAGCTGAGTAAGCTAAAGTATCAAAATAAATCATAGTTTTTAGGAATCATCAAAGAACTGAGAAGTGAACATAAATGAACTTGAGCTTATATGGAACTAAATTCCAAAAAAGGAACCAGTCTTTTTAAGAGAAGGGAGATCCATGAATGCTTATATCCCTGTTAGGAAAACAACAGTAAACCTGCTGCTGATAAAGGCGTGGAAAAACCAACCTAGCTTTTAACAAGTTTTGAATGGTTATATATGGGCTGGCATTTCAGAGGAGGAGACCAGAAAGCCCCAATAATACAATAATTTTACACTCACTTGCCAATTGTTTCCTACAAAGCTTTTACACAGGGTACAACATGGAAAGCTAGGAGTGGAACAAGAGAGCTAGAAGAAATACCTGTGAGGTATACCAAGTATTATCCAAGAGGAAGGGAATGACCAGTGAACAACGGGGACGAGATCAGAAAGCTCAGAGATCCCCCTGAGTAAAACTGAGCCTTCACTCAGTACATGGCAAGCAGAAGTTATACAATGGCCAATGAGTACATGAAAAGGTACTCAATATCATTAGTCATTGGGGAAACACAAATTGAAAACACAGTGACATATAATATCATACTCACTAAATGGCTGCTATCAGAATGACTGGCAATAAATGAATATTAAAGATGTGGAGCAACTGTTGCAACCATTTTGAGAAATCAACAGGTTGTTTTTTTGTTTGTTTGTTTGGTTTTTTTTTTGAGATAGAGTTTTGCTCTTGTTGCCCAGGCTGGAGTACAGTGGCGCGACCTTGGCCCACTACAACCTCTGCCTCCCAGGTTCAAGCAATTCTCCTGCCTCAGCCTCCTGAGGAGCTGGTATTACAGGCACCCGCCAACATGGCCGGCTAATTTTTGTATTTTTAATAGAGAGGGGGTTTGACCATCTTGGCCAGCTGGTCTTGAATTCCTCACCTCAGGTGATCCGCCCACCTCAGCCTCCCAAAGCGTTGGGATTACAGGCGTGAGCCACCGAGCATTTCTGACAAAACTGTACATACTCCTACTCTATATCCAATTAATTCCACTCCTACGTATTTATCCAAAGGAAATTAAAACTGTGTACACAAAAATAAAGACCTTTACTAGAAATTTCACAGCAGCCTTATTCTCAACTTGAAACAATTCAAATGTCTATCAACAGGAGAATGAAATACCTACTCTTCATTAATAAAAGGGAACAAACTATTGATACATCTCATATGGATGCACCTCACAAAATCATATTGCATGAATGAAGCCAGACATAAGAGTAAATACTATATGAGTTCAGTTTTACAAAGTAGAAGAACCATGGTAACCCAAGAACCATGGTTGCCCGAAGCAGAGAGGATCTATGGGAAATAATATCTTTGTACCTGCAAAATCAAGCACAGAATGAAGTGATGTTCTTGGGTAATAGAAATATTCTAGATCTCAATTTGGGGGTTGCTTACACAATTGTATACAATTTTCAAAACCCATAAAACTATGCATTTAACATCTTTGCATTTTATTGTATATAAGCTAGCTCAACAAAAAAATCTAAAATTAAAAAATACATATTGAAACTATATTGGAATAATTTTACCACTAGCCATTCTAACCAACCTGTACAACAGTCAGCAAACATTCAGTTTTGAGCTTCCTGTAAATTAAGGTCAAGGGTATGTCCATATTTTACCTAAAAGAAAAGATCTTTGACATATAAAGGTTTGTTAACACATGAACAAGGGTAACTGTATCAGATTAGTTATGTATCAGCTTACAACTAGCTCTGTCTTCATCTTTATAATTAATCTTTAGCTTCATCTATTACCAGTCGCCTCCCAAATATGCACTCTGCCTCTACACATGTCCCTCTCCAATCTATTTCTTTACTTATAATCAGAGATCTATGAAAAATGTAAATATTACAATGATTCCCTCTTGGCTACAAATAAAATCCAGACTTCATAGAGTAGCAAAGAAGATTCTACATAACCTCACCTATACATACCTCTCAAGCAAGGAGCCAAGGAGCCTCCTACCACTCCTTGCATTGTACCTTCAAGTCTTGTAAAAACCCATTATTAAAATGTCCTTGCAAACACTGTTGTTTAAAATCTCCATGCCTTGCTCATACTCTTCCCTTTGCCTAGAAAGCCTTTTCTGCCTGCCTTATCCTAAATAACTTATTCATCCTTTCCAGACTTAGCTCAGGTGTCATCTTTTCAGGACATGATTCTTGAACCGTCTCATTCCCACAGCATCCACTACAGACTTAGCTTTGAGCATATCATTACTTCACCTGCAAATACTTTTTGAGTGTCTACTATGTGCCAAGCACTGTTTCTGTCCTTAAAATACAAAATACATCAATTAGCCAAAACAAACCATCTTCATGTAAATTTGATAGTTTGCCTTTTCAAGCTAAACCACAAATTCCATGAAGTTAAGTCATGGATTTTCATCTCTGTATCTGCAGCACCAAGCACTGTGCCTGGCACATAATAGCTGCTCAGCACAAATTCTTGTGATGTGAAATGAACCAAAGGATGGGATAGAACATGTGATGGATACATGTTGATTAGTAGGAACTGAGATGAAAAGATTAATTCAGAACTGCCTGCGGCGCATAAGCCAAAGAAGAAGACTCTCAGCTGTAGGAAACAACAGAGCAGCTCTGGAAACTGTGGAGAGATGAAGTACAGAAACGAGGCTTCACTTACCGCACAATCTTGCCTAGACCTGCCCTACATGAAACAGCCAGAAATAATTCCAAGACCACATACGTGCTGAGTTTTTAGTGGTGGCAGATCCCTGCTGACATCCCACCCGAGGATATTTGATTGCTCTGCTGTATTCCAAACCAGATGTCTTTGGATGGCAATCTACTTTCTCTCACCTTGGGGTGGCCAGAGGGGAAGTGGATTAGAGGTAGGTGGGCCATAGGGTGAGGGTTTTAAAAATTATATTCCATGACTGATTGCCTGAGATTATGTATGAGGTGTGATTATAAAGTAATGAGAACCATTTTCATGTGTGACTTGTCTTATGTTTTAGTTACACCTCATATGTGGAATGTGTGTCATTTTATACAATGTTTAAAAATTACCACAAGCTAGGGTATTTGGCAGGAAATGTTAAAATTATTATTGAGTGCTCCTTTGCAAGGTAATGATACTCTGGTTTTAAGGGTCTTTTCTTATGAGAATATGAGAATAAGAGTCTTTTCTTTTGGGAATATGCAATTCCAGACATGTTCACCTAAGAAAGGAAGAGAGAAATATTTATAAAGTTGTGGTCATCTACACGTTCTGCAGGCTTTTGACAGTTCTTATAAATTACTTGGCAATAATGATTAACAAAACTTTTGATGAATATATCTTGGACATATATTTAGGATTAAGGAGAGAATTAAAATTATGAAAATGAGAATAGTAAAGTATTTGTATACTGAATAATCATCGTAATTCTTGCAAGCATTTACCATTATTATCCAAACGTTATTTAACTGAATCTAGGCAGGGACTGGACAGACATTATAATACTAAGCAGAGGGTCATATGGACTTTTGTAAAAGAGTGCCTAGTGTATCTACAATAATCCTTTTTGCTGAGTAAGCAAGAGAATAACCCCATTTTAAGAGCCTAAGATTAGAAGTTAAAGATGTCAAATGTGGAAGAAGTAAGAAAAATAAAAACAATCCTTTATGAGGTTTATAATAACTGGATTCGGTCTGTGGGCACAGGGAGCTAAATTTCTTCACTGTCAATATTAGACCTTGAGGGACAAACATAGTCAAACCAGCACGAGAAGCATAAATGCCAGCAGAAGCCAGAGTTGCACCCAGCAGACTATGAAAAGAGGAATTCAGAAAGCCATTTTATCTGGAGTGTGTAATTTCAAAATGACATAGAGTAGTAGTTGTCGAACTTTATGGTTCACAGAAATCACCTGGGGTGTTTGTTAGAAGTATCAGTTCCTCATTAAGGGTGGAATAATATCTGCATTTGATTCTCATGCGGGTGGCCTTCTAACCACATTTTTTAAGTAGTACATAGAAAGGAGAGATTCTTACATAGTTGTAATTTGTTGTTACAACTTTACTATATAACCTAATGGTGATAAGACTGAGATAAAGAAAGATTCAGCAAAATTCTCGTTTTGGGAATAAATCTATTTTAAAATGTTTTCTTTGGAGTTTAATTATTTGAGGGGGTCTATATCCTTTAGGGTATATAAAAGAATGCAGTGAGAACTTAATTTTCTCTGGACTATGATTAATGACCTGAAAGTCATGAAGAAATAGGGGAAATAACATAATATAAAATTTAAGGTTACATTTTCAAAGCCAGGGGTTATAATAAATAATCAAGATGGATAGATCAGTGTTGCCAGAGGGTGATGATTTGACATGGAAACCAGGTCAGAGGCATTCATATTTGTACTGATCTAATTTTAGTATGCAGATAGAGACTCCTTGCTGAGAACTGATTTTGCAAATTTTGCCCAGAATTGCAAATGTGAGCTCAGAAAGTACTACTCCTATAGCCTCCAAGGGGTCCATGGCTGAGCTTGTCCCATCTGCCAGGGGGATTCTACCATTTGTGTAAAAGTAGCAGCTGCCACTTCTTTATGTTGATGTGAAACTCTTGAGCAAAATAAAATATTGGCATCTGGGCTTAATTCTACTTTGATGGACACTTTTTCATGCTATATTTGTAATGATTCCAGGGGGGATTTTTGAAATAATTAATGAGAAGAATGCATTTCCCAAAATTCCCATTTGAGTTTGATGTAGGGCAGGTTCTTGGCTTCGCTTAGGCAAGAATTCAAGAGTGAGCCAGTGGTTGAAGAAAGCAGCTTTACTGAGGCAGCAGCAGTGCTACAGCTCTGGGATTGCTCCTGCAGAGCAGGGTTACCCCAGAGGAAGTGTGTCGAGAGTAGCAGCATATGGGCAGTTTGCAGTCACATTTATACCCACTTTTAATGACATGCTAATTATGGGGTGGGTTATTCAGGAATAGAAAATAGGCAGTAACTTCCTTGTGTTGCCATGGCATTGGTAAACTGTCATGGCACTGATGGGAGTGTCTTATGGTGATGAGCAGCAGGAGGTACATTCAGCACCACTTCCCTGTTTCAGTCAGTCTTCATTCTGGTCTGGAGATGAGTTCCACCTGCCTCCCACCTCAAGTTCTCATACATGTTTTATTACAAATAAGTCTGTGACAGAGAAACAGGATCTTATTACTTATGCTAGTACAAATGGGATTGATAAGGTGCTGTATAAGCAAATACAGGAAAAAACTAACTTTTACCAGTTTAAGTGTGGTACTTCCACATAACAGTAGCTATGCATGTGAGGTTTTAAGATCGTTGAAAATATCTTTATGAAAATGACATGAGGAAAACAACTTCCTTTTCAGTGCCATTAGGAACATGGGGAAAAGAGAAACACATGTAAAAAAATGCACAGTTGCTATGATTCCAGTATATACAGATTGAAAAGGGGGTAAAAAGCAGAGAGTGAATAATTTTACCTGGACTTGACTAAAAATCTATCCTAGCAGAGATGGACTGAGTCTTTTTAAAAAATGGATAGACAACGTGGAAAAGTGCATTGCATACAAGGGGGTTATCATGGGCATTGGAGGAACCACCGGGAGTTTGATAGGCTACAAGGTGGGCAAGATAAATGTGAAAACTAGAGAGTTAGCCAGGAACAGAGAGTGACAGTTCAGGAGGCTGGTCTGATTGGGAATAAAATGAGAATCACTGGGGATAAGGCTCCTGCATCAGGACTTTTAAATAGCTCTAAAGATGATTATTATGTGTTGCCCAGATTGATAACTACTGCCCTACTGCATCCTTTCCAATGTAGCATGCATATTATATATGAATACTCAACATTTGATGTGAGGCTTATATATACATAATACCATAACTCAAGCAATGTTTCTTTATCATTACTGCTGCACACAACCAAACTATTATTGTCATTGAAGTTAGGATAGCCTGTGTGGAAAAGACATGAGAAAGGGGATGGAGGTTTAGGTAGAAGACTTCTCCAGTAGTCCTGGTAATAAGCCCCCATGAAGACAGGCAGTATCACAGGGGATGAATAGAAGGTGATGGATATAAGATAATGGTAAGGAGGCAGAAGTGACAAGACTTGATCACATATGAAAGAAGGAGAAGGAGAGATCAACAGTGGCTCAGAGGTGGTTTGAATGATTCTGTGGATGAACCTAGCATAAATTTTCCCACCTAAAAATATTCAGACCTCACCCATCTGTGATGGTTAATTTTACATGTCAAATTCACTGGGCCAAGAGGTGATTAAACATTATTTCTGGGTATGTCTGTGAGGGTGTGTATTAGTTTGGTTGGGCTTCTATACTGAAATACCATAGACTGGTTAACTTATAAACAACGGAAATTTATTTTTCACAGTCTGGAGGCTGGGAAGTCCAAGATCAAGATGCCAGCAGATTTGGCACTCGGTAAGGATCCACTTTCTCTTAAGTGATACCTTCTTGCTGTGTCCTCCCATGGCAGAAAGGGTGAATGAGCTCTCTGCAACCTCTTTCACAAGTGCACTAATCCCATTCATGAGGGCAGAGCCTTCATGACTTAATTACCTCCCAAAAGACTCCATCTCTTCATACCATCACCTTGTGGGTTAGATTTCAACATATGAATTTGTGGGTGGGGAGGACACAAACATTCAGTCCATAGCAGGATGTTTCCAGATTAGATTCGCATTTAAATTGCTGAACTCAGTAGGCTGCTGTCCCCAGTGTGAGCAGGCATTATATTTGAGATTCTGAAAAGGGAGACAAAGAAGAAATTAGCCCTTTTTGCTTCCTGCCAGCTGCATGAGCTGGGACATCAATCTTCTCCTGCCCTTGGACTGGAGTGTACACCATTGACTTCCCTGGTTCTGAAGGCTTCCCAAGTAGAATGGGAATCACACCCCTGGCTTTCCTCGAGCTCCAGCTTGCAGACTGCAAACCATGGGACTTCTCAGCCTCCATAATCAGATGAGCCAATTCCTCATAATAAATCTCTTCCTGTTTATAGACATATCCTATTGATTCTGTTTATCTGGAAAACCTAATACTCTATCCTACCAAAACCAGCAGAAACATCGCTTCTTCCATGCAATCCCTGCTATTCCCAATAGTGATCTCTTCTTCTGACCATCCATAGAAACTTACCTTTATTTCTCTGTAGTATTTAATATTTCTAGCCATTTACTCAAATAATGCACACGTGAATCTATATGGTAGGTGATCCATTAAAATCTCTTTCATATCTAAGGACTTAAAATTCTGTTTGGTGAATAAATGAAAGTTTAGCTGTTATGCCTCCTGGAAGCTCCTACTCTGAGATATTGGTTCAAAGCCAGTGTTCTTAATCCTTTTTGTGTGTCTGGATCCTGTTGGCAATCTGGTAAAGCTTACAGATCCCATTTAGAACAATGTTTTTAAATGTATAAAATGAAATTCACAGATTTATTTTAAAAAATCATTTATACTGAAATATAGTTATCAAAGTAGCTTTGAAAAACAAACTTGTAATATAACACCATTTGATTCTATATCAATGTATCAAATAAAATATATTTAAAATATAGACAAATTAAAAATAAATTTATTTTTTAAAGACTTGGGAGGATGTTGTTTTTATTCTTAATAAGAATACTAAGCTGTGGAGAAGTCTTTGAAAAAGCTATAGGCCTGTCATGTTGGATAAAAAACTGATTTTGGCCAGGTGCGGTGGCTTACGCCTGTAATCCCAGCACTTTGGGAGGCCGAGGCAGGAGGATCATGAGGTCAGGAGATCGAGACCATCCTGGCCAACATGGTGAAACCCCGTCTCTACTAAAAATACAAAAATTAGCTGGGTGTGGTGGCACAAACCTGTAGTCCCAGCTACTCAGGAGGCTGAGGCAGGAGAATCGCTTGAACTAGGGAGTCAGAGGTTGCAGTGAGCCAAGATTGTGCCACTGCCCTCCAGCCTGGCAACAGAGTGAGACTGCATCTCAAAAAAAAAAAAAACAACTGATTTTAATTTTTTTTGTTATTATGTGTCACAGGTATTAAAAATCTTGATTTGCAAAGGTAAGTTACTACAAATGGATTGAAGCTTTCATAGCTACTTTACAAGACAGAGATAGCTTTTTTCAAGAAACCCATGAATTCTCCATGATTTTTTTTTAGTTAAATCTCAGTTGTAGTTCAGTTTTTCAACAGAAGACTAATAAATTCCTCTTTGGGTAGATTATCAACTTAATATGCTTTATATTAAAAAGAAAAAGAAAAGATAGTCCATGGTTCAACTTTGATGCCATCAAAATAAAATTACTTGTAAAGCTTTCTGGAGTGTTTCCAAATTTCTCTTTTAAAGAAATTGGCAAAGAATTCTGCATCTCATCCTCAGAGGGTAAAGCATAACCTCCAGTGTTGACAGCTGGCAAGGATGTTCCATATTAGCAGTTTAGTCAAGAAAGTTTGTATATTTCCAAGGGTATCCATTATGGTGACATTAAGACCCACGTACTGTATTCAAAAGGCTCTTGTCTTATAGACCATTAAGAATTCCTATTTAAACTAGTTTTGAAAAAAGTTTTAAACAATAAAAATTACTCATCTCTTCCTCATATTGATCAACAAATAATTGTAGATACAAAATACTGTAAAGCAGCATGAATGTGCAGGGCACCACTGAGAATACACGACTTCATGTTTGAGGATGGTAGAGTTGATCAATAGCTGGCTAACAACATTGCACACTATTTATAGTCATAAAGATTATGATTTCATGTGATCTTTCTAATTTAAAAGTAATAATGAGTATATTTTTGCAATATACACAACAATTGTAATGTGATATGAAAATGTCTGAGTTTTTTTTGGTAACAAACTCACAGGCATACCTATACTGTTGTGGTTTATTATTAATAACTAAGCTCATAATTGAAGGGCAGTTAGAGTTAGTGATCACAAATGTATATTTTTTTCTATCCAAGTTCATGAGCCCCCAAAATTCTGACTTCTTTTCACAGAAGCCCTATGCTAAAGGTAATTGAGACTACAAGTTTACTTCTGAAATTCCAAAGAAAAAATATCAAGTGTGATACCCATACATTTTCATTGTCCAAACCACCTTTGGAAGCAAAAACAGACATATTAATATGGCTTCAGTATATTAATAATTACACCAGAACAACATTCTGCAAATTATCATTCTGGGCAAACTGAGATGTTTGGCCATGCTACCCGAGGTAGAAAGATTAAAATATACTACAGAAGTCAACGATGGGTTTATTTTGACAGAGATTCAATTCACCCCTTTAACAAAGAATCACAGAATCTGAGAGAATAAGTAACTCCAATTCAAATTAATAGCTAGAATTTTTTGCTTGTATCTTAGCAAATGTAATAAGCCATAGCCATCAATAAAGTATTTTTCTCATATGTGAAAATAATTTAAAGGGCTTTTTTTGGCACAATGCAAAATTTGCATTTATCCAATATCCACTTTCTATTAAAAATTTATCCTGGTTTGGGCAAATTATCCTGACATGCAAATCTAAATTATTAAAATATTTAGAAGATGATCTTTTTGCTCAATTACTGTATCATTTCCTGTTGTCATCCATGATTCTATGGTGGGTGCTTTATGAGTTCCTTATGCAAGAAAAGTAGGATAGGCATCAAAATGGTTGACCATAGGCCTATAAATTGGTGTTCAAGAGCTGGAGCAGGCAAGGTAGGTAGAGATTTGCTGAGTGTGACATTTTTCCCTGCAAACTCACCAGACCATAGCGTCGCAGTTTTCCTGGAGACACAGGTGCAAGGAAGAGGTAAACTGCTGCAGCATCTGTAATTCTTCCCAAGAGCCAAAGGAATCTCAGAAGTCCTGGTAAGGACACAGGCTCTCCTTCATGGAGATGGAAAATTAAGTGAAAGAGAGAGATTGGGTCGGAAAGAAGAAAGGACTACTTTTTTAGAGGTATACTGTATACCAAATATTTAGCATATTACCTCATTTAAAAATAAACCTGTAAAAGTGCTGTTATTCCCACTTTGTAATTGAGGAAATTTAGGATCAAAAGAATTAATTTGCTGAAGGTTACAAAGCCAGAAAGTGCCAGAGTCAAGTTTTGAACCCTATCTTTCAGTCCCCTGCACTCTGCTCCACACTGATATCTCAACTCAGTTTAAGACATCAAGAAGGAAATGGTGCTTCCTGTGCCTCCCTCTTGCTCCAGGAATAATGCCTTCACTTCCTTCCAAATCAAAAGATGGTGAGGAATGGAAGCAGAAAGGCTTGAGTTTCTGAGAGAAAAAACTCAGGTCCTTAGGAGTATCAATCAGGAATATTAAGGTTAAGTAGCCCCTGCTACAAATGTTGTTGGGCTGTAAGAACAGAAAGTCAAGGTTTTTCCACAGCCCAATGCTATTCTCACTAAGATACGATACACTCATCAGGTTTTCAACCAAGTCAATTATGATTTGTATTCATTGAAATGCCAATACAGATTCATCGCGACATATGTAGAAAACCTGACTTGAAATATTGTTTCATCAATTCCTTCCCATGCTCCTATTCCATCCCACATTTTTTAGGCCTGAGCTATGTAAACGGAGCTAGCTGTTTCTGATTAGCAAAATTAGCTTCCCTCCCTTGTGGGTTAACATATAACACAAAAGCCTTAACTTGAAGATAAGACTGATTGCCCTTTTTAGTTAAAAAGCTTTCAACAGAAATCACAGTTAATTGGAAAAGTTTCCCTTGTGATATAAACCAAAGGGGGAAAAAAACCAGGCACTACAATAAAAAATTATCAGAAATTTAATATTTATTCTAAAAGGCAACATAAATTTAATAGCAATGGGAATTATATGGTATATATTTATCTATTATAATTTTCTGTCAAGGTACTCCATAAATGTAAATAAGATTAAAATATTTTAAAAAATAACTGAAGAGGGAGGCTTCGTTAATTCTTTCATTGATTAATCCATTTATTTAGCATAAACAATTTTTTACATATCCATAATATGCTTGGCACAAAAAAATACAGAAATAAATAAGACAGACATAATGCCTACCCTCATGGAGCTCATAAAGTAATAAATACGAAAACATTTCTCAAGTATCCAGTCTTTAATCCTCATTTCTGTCAGTAGAAGTCTATGCAAACATAGCCAGGGAGGTTAAAAGGAGCAATAGATTTTACGTCAAAAGGCCAGATATTGTTCTCACCCCAATTCCACCACTATCTCCATTAACATCTTACTTAAGATCCCTTTTTAGAAATGGTAGGAACCAACTCACATCAGTTTAGGAAAAATAATGGAAATTTACTAATACATATGGTAGGGATGATATTTCTTAACATGCAAATATTACTAGTTTCTCTCAAAACTTCTCCTCTTCCCTCCATACCCTTCTCCCAAGTTTCCATATTTTTATGCTGGACAATGAAGATAATAAGAAGAAAGAACAGGAGAAGAAAGAAAGGAAAAAACAAAGTGGGAACAATGAGACATAAATCCATGCCTGTTGGAGTGGAAGGGAGAATTTTTTCAATGTGTTCTCTGAGTAGTTCCAAAATAGGACTGGGGAACTAGGATCAGATGAAAGTGGTTTTTAAACAAATGTTCCTAGGGGTTACGAATTGATACTTAAGAAACCCAAGAAAGATAGGAATTCCTTTTAGATTACTTTTTATGTGCTTCTTTATGATTCTTGCAGACACTGGGTCAAGTGGAAGCACTTCTTCCATAGGAGTTAAATTCAATAAGCTCTTTACTTCGTTTTCAAGCACTACATTTCAACAAAAATTTAAAATGTCTTCTTTAGTCCATCCCACGTGTATTCCAAGCTCTCTCACAGATGCCGTGAGAGATGCCTGTCTCAGGAACCTAAGTGCAGCTATAAAGTTTGAACTCTGAACACAGGACTCTACAGCAGTCCTCTTTTCTCTCTCTCTCTCTCCCTCCACCCCCTTCCTTCCTTCTCCCCCTCCTTTTTCTCATCCTCCCCCTCCTCCTCTTTCTACAGCTTGCTGATTATAATAGGTAGAAGACAAACATCTCCAAGCACTGTGGGGCAGACAGTTTGGGTTTTGGTCACAATTCTAGATTCACATAGAGGACCCTCTGACCTAGTTCGAGGCAGATACCCACTTCGAGTCCAATCATTTATGAGAGAGGAGCTCATCTCTGAATCTTTCAATCACCCAGAGCTTAGCTCTAAATTGGGGATAACAATAATTATAATATCTAACCTCAGCAGGGGATTATTGTGATTTTTTAAATGAGTAAATATAGATAAAAGTGATTTGGAAACAATAAAGTTCTCTTTAAATGCATTATTTATAGTACAGTACTCAAAAGCAATCTATTTGTTGTTTATAATAACAAGTAATAGCATGTTGACTCCAACCATGCGTCTTCTCTCGAACAACCTTTTTGATTTAAAGCCAGTGTGACTGCTTTGGTGCTCAGGTGACTGGATTGCAATTCAAAGGGGCTTTTTCTTTCTTAGAGCAATGTTTGTTACCCTTTCAGAGTCACAGCATCCTGAGTCAATGATGAAAACTAGGGGAACTCTTCCCAAAAAAAACACTCACACATTCCCACACACAATATTTTGCATGTGATTTCAGGGACTCCATAAACCCACTGAAGCCCATACAGGTAACAAGCAAAGAACCTCTTCTCTAGCTCAAGACACAGAGAACCCCAGAGGCTTAGTAACCTCCAGCTCTTCTCTCTATTAAAAGAAGAAAGGGAAAAGTCACTTTCAATAGAGTTCACTGTCACAAATGAATGAAAGCAGAAAATCCAAGGCATGAGTAGAGAAGAAAAAAAGGAGAGGAAAAAAAAACCCCACATCCTCTTAGAAGGTTACAAATTTCATTTTTATCTCTCCAAAGATCCTTTGTTTTTCAATTTGTCAAACAGTAAGCATTCTTCCTCATGTCATGCTGGAATGAGAATTAATGTATTTCTGTCTTGTTTATTTCCTTTGGTAAAAATGGCTTTTTAAAAATTCTTGATGGTAACACTATCCGATATGATGATTCATTCATTATTAGTTTCTACTGTAAAACAACAGAAATATGAACATGAAGGTTATATAATATTTACAATCAGATATATATATATATATATATATATACACTCACACAAAATGAGATGTCAGTATGTCTCCACAACTTGCATTAAATGACTAATTTAAATCAGTTTAGACAGTATTCTACTTAAACTAGAAATTTGATTATTTATTCCACTAATTGTGCAAACTACTCATAAAGTAAATGGATAAATTTTGTTAGCATAAACATGCAATCTAGAAAATTTGGGCCAAAGCCACTATTTATAAATAGATTTTCAGCTTGAATTATGTGAAAATTGTCACATTTACCAACACAGAGTTGCAAGTATTTCAACAGAACAAACTGTCAAATCAAATTTGTTGTTATTATGTTCCATCTAACATACTAAATCATATGGACATTTACCTAAATCATGTGGAAATCTAGCTAGCATCTAGTCTCCCAATATAATGCATAAATTGGAATCATCCTTGATATGAATTAAGCTGCAAAAGGCTTTAGGCTTTCTTCAGTGCCCTATGGCAGTCCTTTGCTGAGTTGTTTACATTTGCCCTCACTACACCAGAATTAAAATCCTAGCTATGGCTTTTACTAGCTGTGAGAACTTTCACAAGTTACTTGGCTTCTCTGGGCCTCAATTTCCTTATCTGTAGAGTGGGGTGACCTGAAGGATTGTTGTAAGGACTAAATAGGAAAATGTGTGTGCCCCATACAATGCTAAGCACATATTAAGTACTCAACAAATGATAAATTGTTAATGCTAAAAAAGTTTACAAAAGACAGTGGATGAATTTCCCAATTGTTCTCCCCTGCTGTGGACATTACCCTGCACTCAAAAGACACACACACAGGATATTCTCGTTTTATAAAATTTAAACATTCATGTTAAAATTAAAAATTAGGTAAGTATGGTGCTGAAAGAAATAGTTATTGAACATTCATATTTTCCCACCTTATCTCAGCAGTAGCTCTTATGATCCAGAAGCTAAGTTTACTATCCGAATGTATCTTCTTCAATTTTTTCTATACATTTTAGTAATTTACTACCATTTCAAACATTTTATCTTTCTGTACATAATCCAAATATACTTTAAAACTCCACATTGAGGGGCCAGGCATGGTGGCTCATGCCTATAATCCCAGCACTTTGGGATGCCAAGGCGGGAGGATTTCTTGAGGCCAGGAGTTCAAGACCAACCTGGTCAACATGGAGAAACCCTGTCTCTACTACAAATACAAAAATTAGCTGGGCATGGTGGTGCACACCTGTAGTCCCAGCTACTCAGGAGGCTGAGGCAGGAGAATCACTTGAGCCCAGGAGGTTGAGGTTGCAGTGAGCTGAGATCGCACCACTCACTACACTCCAACCTGGGTGACAGAGTGAGACTCTGTCTCAAAAACAAAACAAAATAAAACACACAAACAAAAACCTCCATATTGAATTTACCAAGATATGGGTCACTTACTTGTTTTAAAAATAAATACTAGAAGTTATATTTGAGAAACTAAACATAATAGATATTTACTGCTGTTTTTAATGATTGTTTTTGTCCACCTGGCATGTGAACCCCCATATAGGTCTGTGTGGGAGGCACTTCTCATTCTAGAAGCCTAGGCCAGATGGCTGCTTTCTCAAATACCCCTGCAGCTCTGGGAAAAGCACAAGAAGAAGGTCGTGTCAATCAAATGCCCCATTACAGATTTTGAATCAGACATTTATGACACAAAGGGGGTGGGGAATAATCTGTTTGGCAATAGCCCCCAGCCTCCAGGAGTGGTGCAGACAGAAGGGACATCCAGAGTTCATCTGACAGCAGTTGATTCTGTGGCATAATTCTTATCTGTGGTCCTGTGTACTGCCTATTGTGCGAGTCTGACTTTCTAGCCATTACAATTCAATTAGGCACTGATTGCCTTGAGTCAATTCCGTTTCGGCTTAAATCAGCCAGAGTCAGTTTCTATTTTTTGCAAACAAGAACCCTGACTGATACACTAAATTTAAATTTAGAAATGAAAACTTGAATGGCATTTTATAATAGGTATGTTGAAGAACAGTGGAATTTTCCCAAAGATTATAGTATCAAATTCCTACTCATTGAATCATTCAACTTAAAAATTAACAAAATATATTGACCTTGTACCTATCCAATGTAATGCCCACTTCTCTGCTTTGATTCTGCATTATTTAGGAATAGATGTGGTTAACAGTGGGGGCGAGTGGAGAATAATGCAAGTGTTTCTTCTCTCATGTTAAAGAAGTCCAAATGTAGGCAATCCATTGAGTTATCAGACACCTGGATCTTTGTATCATTTTTTTTCCCACTGCATTGGATTTGGATGTCATGCTCTAAGTTACTTCATGGCCCAGAATGGCTGCTTTTGTGGTGCTAGTCATCACATGACACATTCCAAGCAGTAGGAAAAAGAAAGAAGGGAAGGGCAAAAGTAGGACTACTCCCAGGTGAATCGCTACCGTTTAAGAAACCTGCCTGGAAACATGATGTCAAGCACCTGGTCATATGACCACAAGGGTGGCTGGAAATGAAGTCTAGATAGCGAAGTCTAGATAGCAAAGTCTAGGAAAAATGTGAGGCTCTGCTTCTAGACAAAAGGGGAAGATGGATGTTAAGAAGGCAACTAGTGTGTTTTCCACGCCTTCGCACACAGCAACACTTGTCAGAAAAGGAGAGTGGTTGATATTCATGCTCCTCACACTTACTTCACTCAGTATTCAACCGCCTCCACTCCCCTGAAACTATTCTTGTCAAAGTCACCAACTTCCAAATTGCCACCTTAATGAAATGCTTCCATCTTCACATGTTTTTGCTTCTGAGCAGCACATGGCACCCTTTACCAGTCCTTCCCTCTTGAGACCTTCCCCCTCTTGGCCTTACTACTCACATTCTCCTGGTTTCCCTGCAACCTCTTGCCTATTCCTTCTGTCTTCTTTGCCGATTGCTTCTTCTCTGCCCTCTTCTTTGGCGACATACTCTCTCCAAGTGAACATATACAATCTGCAGCTTTAAATATCATCTACATTCTGATGACTCCTAAAAGCACATCATCAGCCCGACCTCTCCTCTGAGTTAGATAGCTATGTTTACAAATGTCTACTTAACGCCTACCCATTGGATCTCAAATACAGGCTGTTCAAAATGGCACTCCTGATTTCTAAACAAAATAAGAACAATAAGCAACTGCTATTCAGATTTCCCTACCTCTGTAAATGAATAACCATCCACACAGAGTTGCTCAAGCCTTAACACCAGTAGTCTTGGCTCTGGTTCTTCTTCCACCTTCAGACATTCAATTCACAAGTAGAATGCTGTTAGTTCCACTTCTAAAACATATTCCAAATCTGCCCACTTCTCTCTACCTCCACTGCTGCTACCCTGGTGCAAAGTTCCAAACCAACACCATTTTTCACCTGGAATGCAGAACTAACCGCCTGCAATGAACTGAATGTTCATGTTTCCCCCAAACTCTTATGTTGAAATTCTATCCCCAAGGTGATGGTATTAGGAGGTGGGTCCTTTGGAAGGTGAATTAGGTTATGGGGCAGAGCCCTCAGGAATGAGATGTGCGCCCTTATCAAAGAGGCCCCAGAGAGCTCATTCACCCCTTCCACCATGTGAGGACCCAGCAGGAAGGCACCATCTATGAACCGGGAAACAGGCCCTCACCAGATGCCAACCCTGACAGTGACTTCATCTTGGACTTTCCACCCTCCAGAGCTATGAGAAATAAGTTTCTGTTGTTTATCAGCCATGTAGTCTGTGGTATTTTGTCATAGCAGCCCCTACAAACTAAGACACCACCTAGCTAACTGATTTACCAGCTTTCACACTCCCCTGCCCCACTTTTAAAAATATAAGCCAGCAGAAGATCCTTCACTGGCTTCCAATTTTGCTAAGAATCAAATCAAATGGCTTGCAAGGCTCTTTGAGATGTAGACCCTGCCTACCTCTCCGTCCTCAGCTCATACCTCCCTCTCCACCTCTGGCTATACTTCAGCTACATTGGGCTTCTTTCTCTTCCTTCTACATATCAGGCTCATTTTTGTTTCAGATTTCTTGCATTTCCATCTATAGCATTGTTCCCTCCAGAGCATCACCTAGTTGGTCTCTTTTTGCCATTTATGTCTGTCAGATGTCACCGCCTCCGAGAGCCTCCCCTACCACCTCATCACCTCATCTGACATGGTTCGCCATTCACCCAGCCTCATCCTTCTGCTGTACATGCCTTTTGCTTTGTGTTAATATCCCTTACCCTTTATTGTTTTTCTGCATATTAAAATGTAGGCTCCATTACAACATAGAGCTTGTCTGTCTGGTCTTCACTATATCCTTAGCTGTGTCTAGGATAACTATCTGTTAGCTGAACACATGCGCGCTTACATGAAGAACTAGGCAGAAACACTGTATGAAATGCAGGAGGACATGGAGAGAGACTCTGAAATACAGAATCTTCACATTCAGTCATATGAAAGCAACTTTTACCCAAGCCACTCCAAGCGGTTGTAAATAAAGGAGAAATTAAATCATGTCCAATGTGGCCCATAAGATAGTTCCAAGCATCAGGAAAGGCAGAAAATGGGGAAATGAGCAATTAGGTCAGAAGCAAAGCAGGCATACAACAGGCTGGGGTGGATTCTGGAGGAAGGACTATAGCAAGTGGCTAAAAATCAAGCCATGAACAGCCCAAGTCTATCAGTTTCCCTATTATGTGAATTCTGGGATGTGAGGCAGCGTTGGGGCTCACCTCCTATAGGAACTAGGTAGGAGTTTAAACTCAGGAAGAAACTATCCCAGGACAGAGAAGACATTTGTACCTTGGGCAGATAGTGTCATTTAGCCAGTATGGGTCATGTGACAATGGATGCAGGGAAACTGGTAAGTGATACCTGTTGCTGCCAGTGTGTGAAAGGCTGTCTCCATACCCCTGCAAATATTAATGCTCTGTCTGTTTTCCCAAAACAAACAAGAACACAAGCACTTGTGCACCAGTGTAATCAGTATTGCACATGGCAAGTTTAATATCAATGATCAGTGTGGTCCTACACTGTTATTGGATTGCAAATTTATTATTTCTTTCCGACTATTCAGGCACTAAAAAACATTCCTGGATATAATTTACCCTCACATGTAAACTAAATAAAGTGTGGGTATTTTTAAGTAATTAGAAGTAAAAATCATAAAATATTTTTACCCATAATCCCACTACTAGAAGCATATACTTGGTAAATATTTCCACAGAGGAAAAACTAAAACTGTATAAATATGTTTAATATAGACTTTATCATAATTTAAAACAGCAAATAAATTTCCAACAAAAGAGATATATTTAAATATATGTCTGGTTTATTAATGAATGAGCTATTAAATTTAATAATGAGAAAATGAAATAAGCTAAATGGAAAAAGCAGAATACAAATTGTATCTACACTAAAAGCATGACTATGTATACATTGCGCATGTGCTGTGTGCATATATTGCAGCAGTGTGCTGAAGGTCATTTGTATCAGGTTATAAGAACCAGTTGTGGCTGGGTGCGATGGCTTATGCCTGTAATCCCAGTACTTTCGGAGGCTGAGGCAGGTGGATCACTTGAGGTCAGGAGTTCGAGACCAACCTGACCAACATGGTGAAACCCCATCTCTACTAAAAATGCAAAAATCAGCTGGGCGTGGTGGTGGGTACCTGTAATCCCAGCTACTTGGGAGGCTGAGGCAAGAGAATGGCTCGAACCCGGGAGGCAGAGGTTGCAGTGAGTCGACATTGTGCCACTGCACTCAGGCCTGGGTAACAGAGTGATATTGGGAGCAAGCCCCCCAAAACTGGCCATAAACAAAATCTCTGCAGCACTATAACGTGTCCATAATGGCCCCAATGCCCAAGCTGGAAGGTTGTCAGTTTATGGGAATGCAGGCAAGGAACACCTGGCCCGCCCAGGGTGGAAAACTGCTTAAAGTCATTCTTAAGTCACAAACAAAAGCATGAGCGATCTGTGTCTTAAGAGCATGTTCCTGCTGCAATTAATTCGACCCATCCCTTCGTTTCCCATAAGGGATACTTTTAGTTAATTTAATATCTATAGAAACAATGCTAATGACTGGTTTGCTGTTAATAAATATGTGGGTAAATCCGTGTTCAGGGCTCTCGGCTCTAAAGCCTGTGAGACCCCTGATTTCCCACTTCACACCTCTATATTTCTGTGTGTGTGTGTCTTTAATTCCTCTAGCGCCACTGGATTACAGTCTCCCTGACCGAGCTGGTCTCTGCAGAGTGAGACTCTGCCTCAAAAACAAAACAAAACAAAAGAACCAGTTGTTAAATTTTCAGGAATTTTGCAAGCCAGTTGTCAAACACAACCATTATTAAAAATCAAATGAAACAAATTGTATTATAAAAGTAAGTAACACATTTATCATGTCCTAATTATTTTACTGCATTATCTATAGCCCTCAAGTTATTTACATCTATCGTATCTGAGTAGATGAACATTACTATGTCAGGGCATAATACTGCGCACGTCTTCCAACTCTGCCTTATTTGATATCGCATTGATAGTCTGAAATTTGCCACAATGGGAGTGTTTATGCCAAGGAAACTGACAAATATTACGCCTAGGAAATTGACAATCAGGATTGACTTTTTGTTTTGTTTTGTTCTTTGTCTAGACTTAAGAAAATGGTAAAGAATATGTTAAAATGCAAATTAAATTGTAAAATGTATCATGTCTGTTTGAATGGCATAAAAAACTGAGGAAACATCCCTCCAGTATTGAAAAATTATTATCCAATTTAGTAAAAAGTTTGCTCCTCTAAGGCCAGGCACAGTGGCTCACACCTGTAATCTCAGCAGTTTGGGAGGCTGAGGCAAGAGGATCCCTTGAGCCCAGGAGCTCAAGACCAGCCTGGGCAATATAGTGAGACCCTGTCTCAAATAAAAAGTAAAAGAAAAATAAAACATAAAAAATAAAAATGTGCTCCTCTAATTGATAAATGAGTGATGTTCTTTCAATACTTTTTTAATTTTCTCACTTTATCTTAAACATTAATGTAAATGAAAATATCAACTAATATTTGTGTTATAACCACACTTTAGGAGCTAGTTATTAAACATTTAACAGCACAACAATGCATGTGCATGTAAAACTACCAATCATGATTGTAAGGAAGCAACTAAAAAACTAAAATTATGGATGGAATACTAGTTTTAAATATTTTCATTTGTAACGATTTAAAGATAAAATAACACTAATAATTTTTAGAGAGAAAAAATAACAAATATTCAGGAAATTTAACATATTTCAAAAGAAGTAATATTATGTTATAAAACAATTGTAGGAGTTCAGTCAGGGTGGCGGGAGAAAGTATAAGAGAAAATTATAGGAAAAACACAAACCTTTTTGGAAGGCCAGAGGGTTTTGCAAAAGCTTTAGGAAAGGGTTATGGCAGCCTCATCCTCTTACCTTGAGCTAATAGTAAAAAGCAAATAACAAAGGAATGTAGAGGAATTTATCTAAATAGCTTGTTTACTCATGTTATCCTGAGACTGATCTTTGATCATTCATGCACAGAATTGATCTGGGGAGGGCGACCATGTTAATTATCCACAGGTGTGTTGACTCAAAGCCTTTGTCATTAAATCTATACCAAATAAATGCCCACAGCACCAGCTGGTCAAGGCCATGACTGCTGACTCTTTACAGCACCCTCTTCAGTGTCTGTGGGCAGCCCAGTCCCCTAGCTCACTCTTTCACTGGATATCTGTGTCTGAGTGCATTTGTTCATCTGTCATTCGGCCAGGGTCTGCAGGTCAGACCCACCAATAATTAATCATCTCTAAATTATTATTTAAAACAATTAATTATTTATGTCTTCCCTTCCCTTTCCTTCCTTCCTTCCTTCCTCAAATATGTACTGAGCCCCTACTGTGGGTAAGGCACTGTTTTACCATTCCTGACTTGGTGTAGCTTATATAATCTTGTGTAGAGTCAGAAATAAAACAAATAACTACGCAAACAAATATTTAAATGTCAATTTTGCAAATGCTATAAAAGAGAAGATCAAGAAACCCAGACTAGGAGTACAAGGAGGGCATCTTTTATGAAGTGACTTTGAGCTGACACTAGAAGAAAATATAGGAGTTAGGCCAACAAAAAGGGTAGAAAAGAGTACCCCCAGCAGAAGGAAGAGCATAAGCAAAGGCTGAAACAGAATACAAAACTCAACCTGTAGGTCAGCCTAAGGATAGGTTAGGGTGGGGTGGGGTGGCCAAAAGTATGTCTGGGAGTGAGTAGGAACAAAGCTGGAGACTAATTGTACAGGGCCTTGTAGACAATGGTAAAGGCTTTCATTGTCATTCTAAGAATGGTGAGACACCATCACTGAATCTTAAAATTGCCTAGGGAGTTGATGCAATGAAAATTAAGAGTCAAGTTAGCTCCACTGGGCTCCAGTTTAGAATTATCTACAACATAGAAAGTGATATAATCTACTCTTTTTTTCTTTAGCTTTATATTATGCTCTAGATAGTAGATATAAAAAAGGAGACCAACATATCTCAGTCCCATCATACTGTAATCTAAGGAAAAGAATGTCATCAGAAGTTTTGGTTTGGCCTCACTATATTAACCCAGATACAAGTAACACAAGCCACTCATCCCACATGGCCCAATCTCTTCCCAAGATTTCCACAGATTCCCAGGGACTTCAGTTTGCTTAGTCATTCTGACACATGAAGTTATTCCAGGCACATTTTGTACTTTCCTATGGCAACCCTGGAATCAGCCTTACTTAGCTTCCTTCCTTCCTTCCTCTTCCTCTACCCCCTCCACATTTTCCTCCTCTTTTGTCCTCTTCCCTTCTCTCTCTCTCTCCTCCTGTCTCTCTCCCTACTCCCCTCCCCTATAAAATCCATGAATGTATGCTGAGGCAGGAGGACTGCTTGAGGCCAGAAGTTCAAGACCAGCCTGGGCAACATAACAAAAACCCACTTCTAAAAAAATTTTTTAATTACCCAAGTGTGGTGGCACATAACTGAAGTCCCAGCTACTTGGAAGGCTGAAGCGGGAGGATCGCTTGAGCCCAGGAGTTTGAGGCTGCAGTGAGCTATGGTCATGCCATTGCACTACAGCCAGCAATAGAGTGAGACCACATCTTAAAAAAAAATTTGTGAGTTTATTCTGATACTTCCAACATCCAATCCAACACTGCAGGTTTCATTCCTGTTTCTCCCTTTCCATATTTATAAATCCCTTTACTTACAATAAAAAACTTGGCTTCTGATATGGTTTGGCTGTGTCCCCACCCAAATCTCAACTTGAATTGTATCTCCCAGAATTCCCACATGTTGTGGGAGGGATCCAGGGGGAGGTAATTGAATCATGGGAGTCGGTCTTTCCCATGCTTTTCTCGTGATAGTGAATAAGTCTCATGAGATCTCATGGGTTTATCAGGGGTTTCTGCTTTTGCTTCTTCCTCATTTTTCTCTTGCCATTGCCATGTAAGAAGTGCCTTTCACCTCTAATCATGATTCTGAGGCCTCCCTAGCCATGTGGAACTGTAAGTCCAATCAAACCTCTTTTTGTTCCCAGTTTCAGGTGTGTCTCTATCAGCAGCATGAAAACAAACTAATACACCTCCCATTATTCTCAATATATTTTTCTATTTGCTCATGCCTAGAAGACATAGAAAATTATTTTAGAATTGCTACACCATACTACTGAGAAAACAATCATCTATATTTTTTTAAATGAAGCAACTGCAGTTCAGAATAACTTAAATTATTTGTTTGAGGACTTGTAAATGGCAGAGATAAGATTTTACTTCTCTTTTTCTGACTCTTCCTTCTATGTTCTTCCCACCATTTCAGTTTTTTCAAGACATGAAACAAAATAATAGCTATAAATATTTTATCATTACTTTTAATTTATCAATCCCACACTCTGGAACAGTACTCAAGGTGTCAGAAACATTAGGGAGTGTGGATAGTGCCAGTTTTTACTAGACTTTTGTGGGTAAATTCTACACTTTTCATGAGGCAAACATTAAAATACAGAAGAGGTTTTTAAAATAACTTATGACTTTTGCTGCTTCATCTTCTAAAAACTAGCCAATGAGATTAGTGAATTAATTCTAATAAGATAGATACACATTATTGTGAGCTTATTCTGATGCCTGTGAGCCTTTTCTCCACCATCTGCCCACTCACATTCCACAGAAGCAGGTTAGGCAGTGAGGGTAGAAATTATCCTGCTTCCCTAGATGGGGAGGGTGTTACTTTGCTGGAGAATCATAGGGTTAAGATTCCAAGATTTGAGATCTGGTACACAAAATCTTAAATAATGAAAAATTACAATTGCACTGTGTTGTCAGTTTGCATACCCTTGTCACCTCTGAGTGGCTGCTGGATGTGACATCCATGGCAGAGCCCAGGTATCACTAGGCAGGTCTAGACCTCAGCATATAAACAGGCTGAAAATAGAAGCACAGTTGTGTTTTTCTTTGAGCAAGAACACCTAGATAAGAAAGATAAGCATTGCAGTAAGCATGTGTACAGTAATTACAGATGTGTTAACAGAGCTTGGGTATTATATGCCTCAAGATCTACTACTGTTTGGGCTTTGAAGCAACCATTATGCCATGATGGTGAAGCTATAATTAGAAAATATGTCATACCAACATATTTTTGCAAAACTAAGTGAAAAATCCCACTCTTCTCCTCTATAGAAGGAGTGAGAGGATATTAGCCACAATTTTTAAAATTAAGAGGTGTTAGCAATAGGAAAGGCAATGCTATGTCTCATTTGGTGTGCCCCTGGAGTGTGGTTCTGCTCACTGTCCCTTCCTGGGACTGCGTGATGCCACCAGGAAAAGGATGCAATAGGATTGAGATAAACAGGAGAAGTCAATGAGTTGCCATGTATTCCTACTTCTAAAGAAAGCCATTGTCCTTGAGGCCTTATTTTTTAAAAGAATTAAATGGACTTTCAGTGAATAAAGCTTTTGCCCAAATAATCCACAGGGAAAAAAAATAATAGAATAGTACAGTCTGCTGTGGGTGGTGGGATGTGATATGGTTGGTGGAATATTGTCTCCCAGATCAGTGTGTCTCCCCACCCCATCTTCTAAAGGCATCTCAGGACATGGCTTGGGGCCTGGAGGCTTAGAGATTCACTGGCTCCATCTCAGCCTGAAAAAAAAGCATATGTAATGAGCTTCACCTCCACTTCCCAGGGCATCTAGAAGATGATGAGTGCTTACATCTCATCCTCTCAGCCACAGCTGGCAGGTGTCTAGCTCTCTGAAACTAGCCTAGATTTTGCTGCCTGGAATTGGTTTAAAAGTAGCTCCTGCCAAACGGTGCAAACAATGCAACTATCCATTGAAAAATGAATGAATAAACAAAATGTGGCACATTCATACCTACAATGGAATGTTATTCAGTCCTAAAAAGGAATGAAATTCTGACACATGCTACAAGATGGATGGACTTAAAAGACATATACTAAGTGAAATAAGCCAGTCACAAAAGGGCAAATACAATATATGATTCCACTTATATAAAATATGAAGAGTAGTCAAATGTATAGAAATGGAAAGTAGAAAGGTGGTTGCCAGGGGCTGGGTAGAGGGGGAATGGGGAGTTATTGTTATTGGGTACAGAGTTCAGTGTGGAATGATGAAAAAAGTTCTGGAGATGGATGGTGGTAATGGTTGCACAACATGTGAATATACTTGATGCCACTGAACTGCACACTTAAAAATGGTTAAAGTGATAAATTTCATGTCCTGTGTATTTTACCATACTTTTTTAAAAGTAGCTCTTGTAGTTTACAGGTTGTAATTGTTAAGTTTGAAGTGCATTCCATCACTACATTTTCTCATCAATTTATCAAATTTGTATTCAAGGTAAAACACTAATGAATCACGAAACTTAAGAGCTCTTTGGGGGACCTTGCTGTTTTCACCACAGACACACAGTCTTCAACCTCCGTTGTATAAAAAATTGTCCCTCTGGCTCCTTAACCAAATTGAATGTCTTTAGCCCTTCTAAAATAAACCCACCAAGCTCACTTTTGGCAGCTCACTAAGTGAGCTGTGCACTAGTTCAATGCGTCAAAACACAGGGTGATGCTGTCTTCAGGCTTCTACCTTATAAGACTGATAAGCCCCTTTTCTGCAAGTTTTAGGCTCAGGTTAACCCCACCTATTCCACAAATTCTTCTCATAACTTTCCCACCAGAAGTAATCTTTCTTTCTCTTTTACCCACATCTCACTCAGTGTGTGTCTTAGTCCGTTTTCTGCTGCTATAACAGAATACTAGAGATTAGGTAATTTATAAACAATAGAAATTTATTTGGCTCATGATTCTGGAGGCTGGCAAGTCCAAGAGTCTGGTGATGGCCTCTGATGAGAACCTTCCTGCTGCACTATCCCATGGCAGAAGATAGATGGTAGAGGGCAAGTGAGCAGAGCACATAAGACAGAGGAAATCTGGCTGAACTCATCCTTTTATCAGGAGCCCACTCCCTCAATAACTCACTCATTCCTGTAATAAGGGTGTTAATCCATTCATAAGGACAGAGCCCTCCTGACCTAATCAACTCTAAGATCCCACCTCTTAATGCCATCATAAATGCAATTAAATTTCAACATGAGTTTTGAAGGAGGCATTCAAGCTGCAGCAGCATGTAATTCCGTTGTAATACTTCCTAAGGTACTTATGTGTTTATCACTGGATTGGAAGCACACCAACAGTAAAGTTGCACTCTATGATACTGGAACAAGTAGGCCACTTTTGACGTATAAAAACAGCAATTTCGGGTAATTCAACTAACTACTATTGTATTTATTACTGCATCACAAATAATTATTTATTATTCATCTCTGTATCCTCCATAGCCTCTATTCACAATATTTTTCAGTAGTAGCTGCTCAGTGAATAATGCATGAGAATCCCAAATGAATGATGTACTACACAAAGCAATAAGTTTCAGGGAATGAGTAGAAATCCTTAGAGAGGAAGGGGAGGAGAGTACTAATTACTGGGTACATTTTTAAGCTAGAGAAGACAGGAAGACTTTGTGTTTTGCATACATAAATTTAATATTTACCACTATCTGCTATTACTTTCTCCCTTTGGCCTATTAGGAAACTGAAGCTTAGAGAAGTCTGAAAACTTGCTCAAGTCACATGGCTAATATGGGATCCCTTTGCTTGTCATACTCTAAACTCTTACTCAACATCATGCCAGGAAGCTATTTTAGCTGATGAAAAAAAATTTTGTCTCTTTGGAATAACATTTGTGACTGAGCAATGACAATCAGGTGATCATCAGTAGATAAATAAACACTGCTCTCATCAGGCAATGAAAACATTGTATTTTTGCTAGGCTAGGCTGGCAGAAGACCTGTACATCTGACTATTGATGTCCCACATGTGAATACAAATGGGTGTGTTAGACTCCATATATGCATACCTCAGATTTGCTTGGCTCCACCTCCTTGCTCAATAAAGAATCCTAGCCACTGCCATTCATTTCCCAACTCCCTGAGCTATCCCACATCTGCCTTGAGGGAAGGCCAGGCTTCAACATAATCTCCATTACACCCATAATGACAGGACCTACATCAGCCCTGGGACCCACGCCTAACCTACCTAGAGCCACAGAAGTTTTGCCTCTGGTAAAGTATAGTACCACCAGGCATGGACTCTGGCTTCCCCAAGGAGGGTGTATGATTCAGCTAGTATGTGTTACAGGAGGAACTGGAAATAATTCATTCAAGAGAATTTTTTTTTTTTTCGAGATGGAGTCTCACTCTATCACTCAGGCTAGAGTGCAGTGGTGCGATCTCGGCTCACAGCAACCTCTGCCTCCCGGGTTCAAGCAATTCTCATGTCTCAGCTTCCCAAGTAGCTGGGATTACAGGTGCCCACCACCACGCCTGGCTATTTTGTGTCGGGCACTGTTCTAGAACCTGGGGAATCCATGGTAAACCAAAGTTCCTATTCTTGAGATGCTCACATTCTCTTGGGGAACCTGAAGTTGTCTGGCTGGGAGCATGTGCTCTTACACTTTGTAGCATATTGCAAATTCCAGTGACCACCTGGAATTTCCATTGCAATATTTGGCAAGAAAAGATAAACTGAATATATATAAGGATCAGATATAACAAAAATGGCCCAAAACACTGCATCTCTAAGAGTTCTAATATAATCCTAAATAACAGTAGAGAGTGTACTGGGCATGTTCAATGTAGCAAAGAAAAACCACTCCTCATATTTTAAACGGAAAAGGATTTAACACATGGAATTCATTGTTAAGAAAATCCCTGACAGAGCTTGGTCTCTAGAAATGAATCCTAGATCTACTCCTTAGAATCAAGTCACTATTCCTCTGAGGCCACCACTGGAGCAATTGGGTTCGAGAACACATGGTCATAGCTGTAATAAAGAAATTAGGAAGTGGGAATCAAGAAGCTGAACATGGCCTTCAGCTTCCTCTCCACAAGGAGCTGGAGAATAAACACAATAACATTGCTACCAGAAAACTTCACAGTTCATGACTTTGTTTGCCAATGAAATCAGGCAAAAGTCGGGAAAATAGGCTCCACTTCAATTTTGCATCCCAGATCTCATGCAAGTATACCAAATTGGAAAAATCTGTCTTGGGAAATGAAATCTTCACCTTTCCAAACTCTGCAGTAGAGAAAAACATACTAGAAGAGTGATGAACTACAAATGGAATTAGCCAGTCCACAATATCTACCACATAGAATAAAAGACTGAGGTTACCATGCTGAGGGACCACTACGGAGCTACTAGTCAAGTCACATCTCCAGCTCAGTGCCTGGCACAGCATCTGACACACATTAGGTGCTCAACAAATATTTAATAGATAAAGGAATGAATCAATGAATAAATGCGTTGTGGGCAACATAAAAATGAGCCATAATTGCTTGTATCTTTTATGCTTTTTAAAAAATATATTCTTAAATGATGCAGTGATGGTTGGTTGTTCACTCCTTTCAAATACAAACTGTAATATTCTTGACTTTCCCATTTTCCTTCTTAATCTAAGGAACTTTTAGAAAACTCAGCAAGTAAAATAATTTTTTTTAAATGGAAGGAAGCTAGATTTTTCTCCTTCCTCTTGTTGGACAATGAATTTCCCTTTTGAACTTTTGTGGTTGTTGCTAAATGTTTCCTCCAAGGAGAAATCTTCCTATTTTGTTTATTTTTAGAAACTGAAGCCTCCATACAGAGAAAGCTCTTGAAAACTGGAATCTTAAAAGGGAAGTGCTAAGCAGTGTCTCTTTTTTTAAGCCCAGAATAGCAGCAACTTTGAATAGGTTATAAAATAATAGCCCTGTAATGGATCAACCTGATTCTCTTTGTTCTGACCAACAGATTATACAGCATTTTTCAAGACTACATTTCACTTTCTTTCCCTATGGCAGATAGACAACCAAATTCATTTACTCTTAACAAAACATTATCTACATGTTTTCCTTGCTTAAACTGGAACTAATTAGGATTGGTATTAAGTTATAGAAATTGTTATTACAGAATATTAGAACCAAAAGTAGTTTGAAGGGTCTTACCTTTTTACTCTCTTGTTTTTAGGTGAAAATACTGAGACACAGTGAGGTTGAGTATTATTCTGCATACTCAGCCTCCACCCCTTCTCTTGGTGACATTCTTTCACGTGTATTTGTTTGCCTGGTAAATATCTAGCATGTATGACACACAAAGCACCATGAGAGACCTTGTATGTAAGCAAGGTTTTACACATTCCCCAAAGACGGCCTTTAATAAGGCTGTATGTAAGTCCAACCACATAGGACTATAATCTACTTCACAAAATGACAAGCATCTTCATGATCGCTCATTCCTTATCTGGGATTTCCTCTACCAGGTACTCAACTCTTCTCCCTCTTCATGTTAAAATCTATCCATTTTTCAAAGCCCAACTCAACTGTTATTCCATTAAGACTTTCTCAAGCCCTCAACCATAATTAATGACTACCTTTTCTGAATTTCCACAGGATTTTCTTCAGTTGCCTATTATGGTATGTATCTGGTGGGGTAGATATTATGTAGTTGGATACATATCTACTTTTTCTTCTGGTTTCAGCAACATGGTAGACTAAGCTACTATGAAAACTATAAGTCCTTAGGAGCACTGGGTTTAAAATAGCCAAAAAAAAAAAAAAGTTAATTTTTAGCTGATCTGTCCAGAAGAAACAGGAGTCCCCAAGGGCCAGACGGCCAGAAACACGGAGGGAATTAAAAGCCAGACTGATAAATATAAGAAGTGAGACTGCGACAACCTTGGGAGGTGAATGGAAGCAGCAGTATTGATTTGGTAACAACTAGGGTTTTAATGCCATCAGGTCCAGAAGGCCTCTTATCCTCACCTGAGCAGAGGCCAGGAACTGAGATGTCTATATAAAGCTAGGCCCCTCAAAAGCTTTAATCCCTGCCAAAGAGTACTAAAAATCTCAGCCAACAAGATCAAGCAGATGACAATTAAATCTGTTTGGGGGAAAAATAAGTCTTTTGTGAGAAAAAATATTCCAAGCCTGTTGCTTTCTTTGGTGTATAGTCTGAATTTACTTGTTTCTGAAAGAAATCTCATGCCTAGAAATTATCATGGTCCTGGGTCAGTGGTGCCTCTGGGACACTGAAGGATATCAATGCCAAATTTCATCACCTATGCAGCATGAGATGAGCAGAGACAAAAATAAGCCTGACTAAAGGGGAGCTCAAAATAAAAATTCACAAAGAATACTTAACAGAGACTCAGGTAACTCATTCCATCTCAAAACTTGATATATAGGAAAGCAATCTAAAGGACCATGATTAAAGTATGTGTTTTAGATTTTTGAAATATAAAAGGCATTAAAAAAAAGGCAAGTCACTGTGAAAAAAAGATAAAAATTTAAAAGAAATAATTCAAACTTCTGGAAATGAATAGCCATTTAAATTTACCATGGGTAAATTGGTTAAGCAGCATATTAGAGTAAGCTGAAGAAGGAATTAGTAAACTTGAAGACTGATTTGAAAGATAAAGTTCTATTTATCTATAGCTGAGTAAGACAGAGATAGATATGTAGAACATAAGAAAAGACATGGGGAATAGATTGAAAGGTCCAACTTATATCTAACAGGAATTCCAGAAGGAGAGAAGAGGCAGGGTATAGGAAACAAAATATTTGGAGAGAATGGGAGATTGATACAAAGTATTGATAAAAGATGTATTTTACTCTTTTACTAAATACTTGGTTGCCTTGAAGCACAAAGCAATTATTCATATTTGTATTCTTAGAACATTGTTAGAGCTCATTAAATATTGATTTAATTAATATAATTTGTGTTTAAATATCAATAAAGGACAAATATTAATACACAAGATGTGACAGCTATCATTAGAGAAGTAGAAAGTACTCTCTGATGAAGAATTTATAGGGAAAGATTACTTCGAGCTGGGATTATTATAGAAAAATTCATGGACGAGATAAATAAGTATAATCTGACAAATAGAAAGAAGGGCTGGGCATTCCAAGTAAACAAAATAACCTAACAAAGGCACAGGGTGGAAAAATGCAAAAGACATTTGAGGAAAAGCAAGTGTAGTTCATTCTGGTTAACATGTATATACAAGGATTAATTGCAGAAGATTAAGAAAATTAGAACCATATTATGCAGGCGTTGAATGTCAGACTAAATATTTTGGACTATTAGATGAAGAAAAGACATCTCAGGTAACTCATTGCTGGCAGCTTTTTTAACAAAGGGGTAACAAGATCGGAACTGTCATTATGAAGAATGATTCGCCCCACAATTATGTACAAAATGAACTAGAGAGGAAAGACACGGGGGAAAATCAATTGATTTGTGTGTCACAAAGGATTCTTGATGATGACAAAAATGCAACTCAACCTGGCTTGAGCAAGTAAGAGTTTTGTTAGATTGTAAACAAAACCTCCAGGGTAGATCCGGTCAGGTATGTCCTTATACAGTGTTATATACTCAATAATTTGGTGGCCCTTTATCCCTGGCTCGTGGGAGGTAACCTTCAAATCCATGGAATTTACCGAGTAATAGGAGTGTTTTTGTTATTCATGGTGGTCTCTTAGGTAGTCCAGACTAAGGAGGTAATTCATGATGGGAGCTGACCATGCCAGAAAGACCACCTTGTGATTAGAGGGTTGGGGATTTGAGCCATATGATATCAGCCTAACCTCCAGAGAAAGAAGATGGGCTGAAGGTCAAGTTCAATTATATGGCAAATAATTCAATCTAGCATGCTTATATAATGAAACCTTAATTAAAACTTGGGACAATGAAGCTTGAATAAGCTTCCCTGTTTAATGATATTTTGTGCATATGCTACACATAAAGGTGCTGGAAGGGTGATGCATCCTAACTCTGCAGGGAGAGGACATAAAAGCCAGAGACCCTTCCAGATCTCACCCTATGCACCTATTCTTTTGGCTGGTCCTTGTTTGTATCTTTTTTGGTATAATAAACCTGTAATCATGGCTATACCGCTTTCCAGAATTGCATAGGTCATTCTACTAGATTATCAAGCCTTAAGAGATGGTGTAAACTCCTGAATTGTAGCTGGTGGGTCAGAAGTGTAGATGGCTGGGGAACCTCTGAGCTTGCTGCTGTTATCTGAAGTGAGGGCAGTCTCATGGAGGACTGTGCCCTCAGCCAGGGAAGCTTGGCCAACCTTCAGGTAGTTTGGGTCAGAAGTTATTGCATCCAGCAATGCAAAACCCTGAGGTGAGATCCTGCTTTGCATGCTTAAGGAACCACATGGAGGTCTGGGTGACTGCAGTGAGTGGTAAAGAGTAATAATATATGAGGCCTGACAGGTAGCCAAGACCAGATCATGCAGGCAGTGGTCCTCAGCTCTGGTTGCATTTTAGAATGACTGGGAAGTTTTTCAAAGAAACCAGTGTCCAGGTCCCATCCAGGTCCATAAAATCAGAGTGGCTTTGTAGTTTTCTAAGTTCTTCAGGGAATTCTCATTGTGGTACAGGCACTGGTTGACCAGTGTATGAAGTAATTAAATTTTGTTCTGAGTATAAGAAGAAGGTGATATAGATGGAACATTTGTCCCTTCCAAATCTCATGTTGAAATTTTATCCCCAGTGTTGAAGGTGGGGCTTAGTGAGAGGTGTTTGGGTCATGGGATTGGATCACTCATGAACAGCTTGATGATGTCCTTGCAGTAAGGAGTGAGTTTTTGCTCCATTAGTTCACACGAGAACTAATTATTAAAAAGAGCCCAGCAACTCCTCTTCTCTCACTGCCTCTTTCTTGCTGTGTGATCTCTCTCTATTCATTGGCTCCCCTTTGCTTTCTGCCATGAATAGAAGCAGTCTGAGGTCCTCCTCAGATGCAGATGCCAGTACCATGCTTCTTGTACAGCCTCAGAACCATGAGATAAATTAGCCTTTGTGAAAAATAAAAATTACCCAGACTCAGATATTCTTTTATAGCAATGCAGATGGACTAAGACAGAAGCCGATGCAGGCTATTGAGCAGAGGAGTAATATTTGCTTTCTTCAAATTTTAAAAGACTCACTTTGGCTACTGTGCCTAGTCAACAACAAGGGTCACTTGAAGCAGTTAGAAAACCATGCCCTATAGCGGAACAGGACCAGAGGTAGGAAGGAGGCCAGGTGCAAGAGGAGGTGGCTTGGAATCGGCCACCTCTGTAAGTAGGTACAAACAGATGGCGGAGGTAAGAGAGAAATGGTTATATCTGGGGTATGTTTTGAAGAAGGACAATTTGCATATGAATTGTATGTGGAGTATGAGAAAAATAAGTCACATATGAATACATGAGTTTTTCATCTAAGCAACAACGTGTAAAAAAAAAAACCCACAAAAAACAAACAAAAAAACAAATACTAATCACTGTTGCCAGGAGAATGCAGTTAACGGGCCAGGATTGAGTCACATGCTCACCCTGCAGCAGGAGGTGAAGTCAGTCTTGCTGAAAACACATGTACTCAAAGGGACAGATGATATTTCACGAGTAAAAATCAGGGCATGCTACCAATAGTCAATCAGGGAATGCTACCAATTGCAAACTTTAGGAACAAAATTTAGCTCTTCCTCTTTCCTTTTCAAAACAACCAATCCTAAAGCCATTAGGTGGGGCCAAGCAAAGTAGGCATCTCTTCCAGTGGCAGAAGGGGGGTAGCCACAGGGTTAGGGGGTTGAGTAGGGCGTTAGACCCTGAGCTGGGGCAAGGGAGGCATTCAGGTCAAGAGGCAGCAGTGGCAGCCAGCAGGGTATGTTGGAGCCTGGGTGAGGTGAGAAGGGCACTGCATAGGAGTGGGACTTCAAGTTGACCTTGAGGGGCATCAGAGCCCAAGAAGGTCAAGGAGGAGTGATGCATGGGAGGCTGCCCAGTGCGGTATCCAAGTACCAGGGGGATGCGGACAGCATCCTGGGGATGCCAGGAGGCAGCCCAACCTGGGGTGTCAGGGTCTGAGTGGGATGTGAGGGAGGTGGCGGTGGGTGTGAACTGACGGCTATCAAGATATATGTGTGTGTATTTACACATACAGATATTCACTATTTCTGTCCACTGCAAGGATCAAGATTTGTAACCCAACAGCAATGAGTATATGTATTGCTCAAATCTTAGTTCCTAAATATTCTCCAATAAAAGAAAGAGAAATGGGAAGTCCAGCACTAAGGCAGTAAAAGTATAACGTGAGTCCAGAGCACACCACCAAAAATAAGGATGTGCTCAAAAATGATGGGGACAACAAAAAAAGCACATAGGAGTCAGCTCAGATCCACTGGTCAAATTGGGAATATTTTGAGTATCAAATAAGTAATTGTAGTAACTGAATAGGATACTGTGAATCCAAACTGAAAAAATAAATGAATATATTGAAAATCTTAGGAAGGGTCGGGTGCAATGGCTAACACTTGTAATCCCAGCACTTTGGGAGACCAATGCAGGCAGATTGCTTGAGCTCAGGAGTTCCAGACCAGCCTGGCCAACATGACGAAACCCCACCTCTACAAAAAATACAACAATTAGCAGGGCGTGGTGGCACGCACCTGTAGTCCCAGTTACTTGGGAGGCTGAGGTGGGAGAATTGCTTGAGCCTGGGAGGCAGAGGCTGCAGTGAGCCAAGATCACGCCACTGCACTCTAGCCTGGGTAACAGAGTGAGGCCCTGCCTCAAAAAAAAAAAAAAAAAAAAAAAAAGAAAGAAAAAAAAAAAGAAAAGAAAAGAAGAGAAAAGAAAAAGAAAGAAAATCTGGAGAAGAATAAGATATTTACATAAGTTTCAAAATGCCTTCCTACAAAGTAGGTACTAACTACAAAGGGAAAAACTGTAGCTTTACAATGAAGAAGCTTGGCAGGGACCACTAAATCAAGTGATCAAAGGGAACATTAATGATGAGACAAACTGAAATTAAGCCACGCCTGATATGATGCAATAAAAAGAACATAGCATCACTTCTGTGATATTTCTGCCAAAATGCATAACTTAAATCTAAATCTGAAGAAAAATCAGACAAACCCCAAATTGAAAAATTCTACAAAATAACTGGCCTGTAACCCTCAAATGTGTCAAGGTCATGAGAGCCTAGGAAAGACTAAGGAAATGTTCTAGGCTAAAGGAGACTAAAGAGACATGACAAGCACAAACCATGATTCTGGACTGGATTCTTTTACTGAAAAGCACATTGTTGAGACGTGGCAAAATTTGAATGGGTTCTCATGATTAGCTGGTGGTAGTTTATGGATGTTAATTTCCTAACTTTAATAGTTATATCATGTTGTGTAGAAGAATGTTCTTATTTATTTAAAAAAATACAATAAATTATTTAGGGTTGGTGAGACATCATGTTGTTGGGAATTTATTCTCAAATGATTCATCAAAAAAATTCTCTGTACTGAACTTGCATCTTTTCTGTCAATGTGAGATTGTTTTAAAAAAAGCAGCAGCAACCTTACTGGTAATTCTATTACAATAAATTTTTCTGTTATTGAATGAAGATACATTTCTTTGTATATCATCTTGGAAAATCTTGCATTGGAACACACACTGAAAGAGATCTGGGGATTGACCACAGTTTCTTCTTGGAGGAATTTAAATTAACTTCAGCAAACAACTTTTTATCACCCCTAACAAAACCCACATTAGGGTAAAACTTTTGCTCCAGGGAAAGTCTTTGACCATACCAGTAATAAGGAAAAGGTGACTAATTTTATCATCCATTCAAACAACACGTCTAACAGCAAAAGTTTAGACACTGTTTGAATTAAGATTTATTAAAATATAAAGCAGTTGTGTGTAGAGACAGATCAGGGCTTCCATACTGCATTTCTCTGCTGGCCTTGCCTCACTTACCATTCCAAGTGACTTTCAGAATTTCCCACTGAATTGTGTGACCAAGCTGGTAAATGACATGAAATGAAGTAGGTAGTTTCAGGACAACTCCAAGAAAAACAACTAGGCTATTAATAGTGGTTTATGGTATCTCCATACTGTTATGGGACCTATCGTTTACATATTCTGGTTGTGCCAGGTCTATTAAAGAAATCTGAGAACGCTGAAGACATTAAGATAGTCCTTTTTAACAAGTAAGAATTTAAAGGAGAATTTCTTGTAATTACTTCAACATAGCCTATTTTCTATGTATTTGCAATTCTATAACCTAAAGGCCAAAACCAATCATTCCATGTCTAAGTGGTAAAGAAGATAAACACCTTGGAACAGATTTTTCTTTCCAGTTAGTAGATGTATAGCAAGTTGGCACGATGACTTTATTTTATTTATTTGTTTTGGTGGGGGTTGGGGAAAACCCTTCCTTCTCCATACCTTCTGAAACTGTTTCCGGGCCTACAGTTCCAGCACTTGCATTGGTCAGAAGAGGGTGTCAGACAGTGTGGGGCACTGACACAGCAATGGGAGCTGAAACAGAGGTCCCTGGAGGACTGACTCATTTTAGAGATTTTTCTTCATGAGGATATTGGCTAAGATTTTGAACCAACTAAGATCCTAGGGGTTCATGGGCTTATCACTAAAGGGAGAATGCCCAAGGAGAAAAATATTATTATTATAGTAATAATAATAAATAATAATTATAATTAATTTTAATACTAAAATGAAATGTAGCTTTATATCATAACCAAGTTATTAAAGATGAACATATCAGTTACATTAAGATAAAAACAATCAGGTAATCACATGCATATATCTCTTTGCCTTAAGTGTTTAATCTCAGATACATATATATATTCACACACACAGTGTTTCTGCTGTATCTTTCATACAAACGGTAAATCATGATCAATTAGTTATTTCAGATAGGGTGATAGGACTCTGGGAAGTACCAATGAAAAACTAAAAAACAAAAAAAAAAACTAAATACATAGCCAAATGAGTACAGATTTGCTAAGGAGTGTTGACTAAAGTCTGAGTAGATCCTTATTCCCATTAATAAGATATATATATTTTAACATTTGACTATTTCAAATATGTGTGTGTAGGGTATACAGAATGTTTGTCCTAAAATAACCAGATAATTTGCAATATAAACTTACTGTAAATTAAAGAATCATTAATTTTAAGCTATAATTCCTGAAGAGACAGACATTCTTGTGATTAATGAATTTTGAAAGCTTGAAGTGAACATTTTCTGGAGTTAGCATACCCTGGAGGCAATTTCTATCTCTGCTGCTTAATCTTTCTTATTTCCTTGTCTATAATCTGTTTCCTTAACTAGGTCATAACAACTTATTAATCATTATAAAATATTTATTATCCTTTAAGTACTCTTGACCATCATTGTTTTAATCTGATATGTAGAATGACATGAACATAGTTTGTCACATTCAGTATTTGTATAAACATTGAAGGTACTACCGAGAGGAGAAAACCACTAAAATCATGATCAATTTTAACAAAAATAATTTTTTAAAATTTTAAATGAAGCAAAAAACCTAGATTTAAAGATTAAATTTTATATTGGGTTTGGGAAATTTCATCCTACAGAAACAAAATGAGAGTACTGTGGTACTTTTCATGATCTTTCACTTTTATGCCTAGATTTCCTCATCTGGAAAGTATGAATTCTACTAGTTGCCCAGATTTTCTTCTTACGAAGATTTAAGAGGAACAAATTCAAATTCCTAAGAAAAAAGTTGCTATATGATTTTAAAGTTGTTATTTTTCATCAATAATTGTTGCATCTGAACTGGCAAATGACAAAATAAAAATATAATTTTGAATATATAAAATTTACATGACATATAAATTTACATTATATGTATGGAGTCTTTGTCCTAGACACTTTATGGAAGTTTACCATAGAAAGAATCAGAATTTTCTCATGGAAAAAAACAGTAGTTGTGTGCCATATATATTTAAAGCATGCATATTTGATTATTTTCTTCAATTCTTCTGATATTTTCATTTAAAAATTAAACTTACAATTTTTTTTTTCAAGAACAGAGTCTCATCCCTCTGTCACCCAGGCTGCAGTGCAGCTGCACAATCACAGCTTGCTGCAGCCTTGACCTCCTGAGCTTATGCAATTCTCCCACCTCACCCTCTGCAGTAGCTGGGACTATAGGCACGCACCACTGCGCCGGGCTAATTTTTTTTTTTTTAATATTTTGTAGAGATGGGAATCTTCCTATGTTGCCCAGGTTGGTCTTGAACTCCTGGGCCCAAGTGATCCTCCCGCCTCAGCCTCCCAAAGTGTTGGGGCTACAGGCATGAGCCACAAGCCAAAATTTAGATTTTCTGAAAGACTTAACCAAACAGGTACATTCAAATTTTTTGAACCTGAAAAGGTAGTTTCAATTATTCCCTCACTTATTTGTGAAGAAATCATTAATATCTATGTAAAGTGCTACAAGAATCAGGGGTGAAAAGGACAACGAAGCTCCAAAGGCAGAAGAACTATTGAGAAAACAGTTTGAGCCTTTTTTCCAGTCTAGGTACAGATTATGGGGTAGAGATGGAGAGTCTGCTTTTGAGCTGCCTTACCTTATACCCTTCCCCATTAAAGCTTAACAGAAAGCACTAGAACTTATAATTATTAAGATTGAAATGAGAATCATGCTTAGTTTCAAAAATTTAAGTCTATAGTCACCGGGTGCTCTCACTTAAAATAGTTTAGTTATTTCATCATTTTTTACTTCTGGGAGAAATTCTTGGCACATAGTGAACAGGAATGAAAACATGAGACAGCAAAAAGTCTCAGCACAGTGCAATCTGAAAGGTTCAGAGGCATCCTTTATGTAATAAGTAATGGAGTCACTGGAAAACTGCCTTTAAAAACAGAAGTCTCTTGCCAAAAGTGAAGACTAACCATAGCATTTGAGGAATAAAGCAGCATGAGGCAAACACCAGGAAATGTTCAAGGCAAGTTTCTTATGTAAAGACCCATAATGAAATATTTAATAAAGTCTCATTTAAACAAATTATGCTAGATAAAAATTTGCATTGTATTTCTTAGTCAAGGTGGAGTGGGGTTGAGGGAGTAAGCAGGAGAGGGAATTACTACCTGGCTAAAAGCAGCTCTAAAATTGTATCACAGGTGTGTGATACAAAGAGAAGTGTAGAGAACAAAGAGAACAATTTCTTTTCCTTTATGCCCAGTTGAGTTTCTCTGCCCCAAGTGGTTTGTAGAAGACCCTTCTTGCATACTGCCAACAAAATTTTCACATCCACTAGATATTCCATGATTTATAAGTATTATAAATAAAAAGCAAAAGGGGTCATTTCTAGTTACACAAAAAGGGGAGAAGAGTTTTTGGGCTGAAATTCTCCAATGGCCTTTAGCAGAAAAATGAAGCCTTTTTAAAAATACTTGGCACAAAAGTTTTTATTCAAGTAAGTGTTAGGTTAAGGGGAGTTAAAAAGAGGGTTTTTCTAACAACACTTTTTACAACCAAGAGACATCTAAGGTTAAAGTGGGCTTCCAGATAGTGAGGAGGCATCTGTGGCCAGCTCTTCCTAAAGAAGCTCCTTAAATCAGGGTGTGGCAGACAGAGTTGGTGGATCTTGTAACCACCAAGAGAATTAGACCATCTCTGGAAGGACCAATGATTAATAATCAGATGGCCTTTCTTCGTTAGAAAAAAATGAGTATCTCAACAAAGAAAATGCCCATTAAAATGTCTTACTCTGCAAATTCTGCAACTGCATGAAAGGAAAAAAATCTGCTTCGGTTCTATAAATTGAATATCATGAAGTAAGCCAAGTTAAGTAATAGTTGCCTACCTAGAACCTACAAATTTTGTTTGCATTAGAATTTGAATACTGAAACTAATTTTTTCCTACCTCAACAAATCTTCAAATGTTGACCAACTGGGTCTTTATATCATATTTTTTCATAGATACCTTATGAAAAGTGATTGCATCTCAATTCTTATAAGAGGATCACAAATAAGATTCTTCAAGAAAACAAGTGTGGAGAGTAGGATCAAAAAAACATTTTTTAACTAAGTAACAGCTTTGGAAATACTTTCTCTTTTCCCCCTACCCCTGTTGAAAAGCAGTAACCTTTCTTTAACTTAAGGATATAATGTTAGGGAATAATGTTAAAATACTGGCATATTTTTATTTTTTTAAATTTTACTTTAAATTCCAGGATACATGTGCAGAATGTGCAAAGGTATACATGTATACGTGTTCCAAGGTGGTTTGCTGTACTTATTGACCTGTCCTCTAAGTTCCCTCCCCTTGTACCCCACCCTCCAACAGGCCTTGGTGTGTGTTGTTCCCCTCCCTGTGTCCATGTGTTCTCATTGTTCAACTTCTACTTATGAGTGAGAACATGGGGCATTTGGTTTTCTGTCCCTGTGTTAGTTTGCTGAGGATGATGGCTTCCAGTTTCATCCATATCCCTGCAAAGGACATGATCTTATTCTTTTTTATGGCTGCATAGTATTCCATGGCGTGCATGTGCCACATTTTCTTTATGCAGTCTATCACTGATGGGCATTTGGGTTGGTTCCATGACTTTGCTATTGTAAACAGTGCTGCAGTAAACATACGTGTGTGTGTGTGTCTTTATAGCAGAATGATTCATATTCCTTTGGGTATATACCCAGTAATGGGGTTGCTGGGTCAAATAGTATTTCTGGTTCTAGATCCTTAAGGAATTGCCATATTGTCTTCCACAATGGTTGAACTAATTTACATTCCCACCAACAGTGTAAAAGTGTTCCTATTTCTCCACAGCCTCGCCAGCATCTACTGTTTCTTGACTTTTTAATAATTACCATTTTGACTGCCATGAAATGATATCTCATTGAGGTTTTGATTTGCATTTCTCTGATGATCAGCGATGTTGAGCTTTTTTTCATATGTCTGTTAGCTATGTAAATGTCTTCTTTTGAAAAATGTCTGTTTATATCCTTTGCCCACTTTTTGATGGGGTTGTTTCTTTCCTTGTAAATTTGTTTAAGTTCCTTGTAAATTCTGGATATTAGACCTTTGTCTGATGGGTAGACTGCAAAAATTTTCTCCCATTCTGTAGGTTGACTGTTTACTTTGGTGATAGTTTCTTTTGCTGTGCAGAAGCTCTTTATTTCCATTTGTCAATTTTGGCGTTTGTCGCAATTGCTTTTGGTGTTTTCACCATGAAGTCCTCACTCATCCCTATGTCCTGAATGATATTGCCTAGGTTTTCTTCTAGGGTTTTTATGGTTTGGGGTTTTACATTTAAGTCTTTAATCCACCTTGAGTTAAAAATACTGGCATATTGTATAATTGTACTCACTATTTAAGAAGGGCCAAATCTCTTATCAAGGATCTTTGAGTGAGGAAGTGCATGTTAGTGTTCTAAAGATTGAAAGATTGAAACCCGTGGTACCAGTCTGCAAGATGACCCCAATAATTGCTGACTCCTAGTCACACCCTAGTGTAGTCTCCTCCCACATCAAACAGGGCTGCCTTGTGTAACCTACAGGATATTGTGGGAATAACAGTGTATGACTTCCAAGGCTATATCATAACACACATTGTGGCTTCCACCTTGTGCTCTCTTGGATGCTTTCTCTAGAGCAAGCTTGTCCAACCCATGGCCTGTGGACTGTACACAGCCCAGGACAGTTATGAATGCAGCCCAATGCAAATTCGTAAACTTTCTTAAAATATTATGAGATTTTGTGATTTTTTTTTTTTTTTTAGCTCATCAGCCATCATTAATGTTAGTGTATTTCCTGTGTGGCCCAAGACAATTCTTCTTCCAATGTGCCCCAGGGAAGCCAAAAGATTGGACACCCCTGCTCTAGAGGAAGCCAACCGACAAGTCATGGTGACACTTAAGCAACTCTATGGAAAGGTACTCATGACAAGGAACTGAGGCCTCCTTACCATTCATGTGAATGGGCTGTCTTGGAAATGGATCTTCTTGACCCAGTCAAGCCTTTAGATGGCTGTGACCCCTGTCAACATCTTGACAGCAATCACATGAGGCTTTGAGGTAAACTGCTCCCAGATTTCCGATCTGCCAAAAATGCTGAGATTATGCATGTTTATTGTTGTAAATCATTAAGTTTAGGATAATTTGTTTCTACAGCAATAGTTTACAAAGTCTTTTTCCCCCTAAGAAATACTAACAGTGATACAAATGAACATGGCCATCTTAAGGCAAGTTGATGGGCTCTGTGGAGTTACTGGTACTTAGATGGAAACTTATCTCAATAAATTTGCAATTTAGTTTCTTGTTTCTCAAAGTCTTGTACCAAGACCAGCAGCATTGGCATTACCCAGGGGCTCATCAGAAATGCAGAATCTCAAACTCCACCCCAGAGCTACAGAATAGCAATCTGCATTTTAACGAGATTCCCCTATGACATGTAAATATATTAAAGTTTGAGAAGAAGCACTGATTTATTTGATTCCTGGTGTTACAGCCTGTGGTTGGAAACTCTGGATATACCTTAGGGGTACTTTTAAAAAAATACTGTTGGAGAAGCCCGTCTCCAGAAATTCTGATTTAACTGATCTAGGTTGAGGCCTTTTAAGGTGGTGGACCTAATGATGCTGCAGGATTTTCCTCTAGAAAAACTACATTGAAGCCTCAGATCAGCTCTGACTTCCTAGCATGCCCCAACCCCGCAGGAAGTTAGGTATGCCCAGGTGTATGCCCAGAACTGCCTTAGGAGTAGTATTGTGCACCGAGCAGGAGACCTTTCTGGAGCTGCCATGAAGGGTGTGTATGCGTGTGTGTGCGTGTGTTTGGTGGGGCGCACCAACTTCACAGATGCTAGACCGTTGCATGTGCTTCTACCTTCTTTTATTCATGCTCTTCCAGGACTCAGTTCAACCCGAAAAAAAGCAACTATGCCTTTCTTCCTGAAAGGTCAGTTTGGATTGCTGTCTAGGGCTGCTCAGAAAACCAGGTGTTGAATGTTCTAAGGTTTCACGTGCCAAATTGGGATCAAACATATTTGAGCTTTATTTTTCCTAATAACAAAATGCAAGTAACTAGTATTTCTCTTAAGTCTTGGAAAAGATGTTTTTATTGTTGAATAGACACTACGGCATTAAGATTTCCACTATGATGGGTGCTCACAAATGATAGGCCTCTTAGGTAAGAAGCTTTAATTGACAACATTAAATATGCGGGGCGGGGGGAGTGGGTGCAGAGTCTCTCTTTCCTTTGTTAGGGCATCCCAGTGACAGAAACAATGCCTGACACATGGTACGCTCTCGATAAATATTCGTTGATTACATAACCCCCTCTACCACCCAATAACTTCTCATCATTCATTCAAAGTTACTGAACGTACCATATTAGCGAATCTGCAATGGAAACAGTGGAGGCTGTTTTCTCAAAGGATTTTCTAATAAAGCAACAAATCTTTTTTAAAAAAAATGAATGGTGTGCCCCAAGTCAATGCTGGGCTTCGGATTTCTGCGGTAGTTTGGCCTGGGGTCCTCACTGGGATGCTGGCTGGGGATGTGCTCCCTGCCCTTGAATCTCCTTCCTTTGTAGTTTTTGGCCTGCGCGGTTACGTTTCCCAGGCGGAGGAGCGCGCGTCGCGGCTGCGCCCATTAACGCGCGGCGCCGGGCAGGAGCCGTCAGGCGGGCGGGGCTGCCCGGGACCCGCAGGAGCTGCTCCTCCCGCGCCGGCGCTCGGCCCCCTCCTCCGCCCCCTCCTCCGCCCCCTCCTCCCCTTCTCCGCGGTTTGGCATCCCCGGGGCCGGGAAGCCTCCTCCAGCGCTGACAGCCTGTCGGCGGCGGAGGGAGGCCAGAGCGCGGATGCTTGCCAGTGGGCCGGGCCTGACCGCTGCGTGGGAGGCGGGCTGCATTATTTCCCGCTAGGGCCGCGCTCCAGGGAAGGAAGGGGCCAGACACGGCCCTCTCAGCCCCGAACGGCGCGCGCTGCCCGGCGGGCGGGATCCGGGCGCGGCCGAGGCGGCGGCGCTGCACCCCGGGCCTGGGCCCGCGCGACTCCCCCGGGGGCCTCTCCCACGCTCCGCGCCCCGCCCCACCCTTCCTTCCTTCCTCCCCTCGGCGCTCCCGGGAGCGCTCGGCAGACGCCCGAGCTTTGTGGGCGCCCGCGGGCCCAGCGCGAGCCTCGGGCGGCCCAACTTTGCCTCTCCCGGTCGGCTCCCGAGCGGGACTTGTGAGGCGTGGCCGGGTGGAGGAGGCGCTTGCGGGGGCGTGGGGCTCCCCGGCAGGCGGGAGGCACGGAGCAAGTCGCACTGGACAATGACCTGGGCAGCTCGGCGCTGCGGACACTTTTAGCTGAGGGCGCGGGCGGGTCGGCTCCTCCGCGGCTCCTCGGCCCCACCTGCGCGGAGAGGGCGGGATGCCAGAGCCAGGTGTCCCGGCGCGTTAAGGGCCCTCGCAGTCAGACGTCCCTGCACCGGCGCTCGCACCCTTAGTCGGCCCGGAACGTCTTTTTGCGGACGCCCTCGGAGCAGCCGCGATGGCCAGCACCAGGAGTATCGAGCTGGAGCACTTTGAGGAACGGGACAAAAGGCCGCGGCCGGGGTCGCGGAGAGGGGCCCCCAGCTCCTCCGGGGGCAGCAGCAGCTCGGGCCCCAAGGGGAACGGGCTCATCCCCAGTCCGGCGCACAGTGCCCACTGCAGCTTCTACCGCACGCGGACCCTGCAGGCCCTCAGCTCGGAGAAGAAGGCCAAGAAGGCGCGCTTCTACCGGAACGGGGACCGCTACTTCAAGGGCCTGGTGTTTGCCATCTCCAGCGACCGCTTCCGGTCCTTCGATGCGCTCCTCATAGAGCTCACCCGCTCCCTGTCGGACAACGTGAACCTGCCCCAGGGTGTCCGCACTATCTACACCATCGACGGCAGCCGGAAGGTCACCAGCCTGGACGAGCTGCTGGAAGGTAGGAGGGGAGGGCGCCGCACGGCAGGTGCGGCGGAGCGCCGGCAGGTGCAGTGGGCGTGAGCCGGCGCAGCGGGGAGCCCGCGGGGTGCTTTCCAAGCCGCACGGGAATTGATGCTTCTGTCTGCTTCTCTAGAGATTGGCTGGGGGTGGGGGCCGGTGGGGTGCCCACATACACACTGACTTTCCTTCCCAAGAGGTTTGTCTCTTAAAGAAGGAAAAAATTTCCTGATGGTCAGGCCAATTTAGGCACTGGTGGCATCTCCTAAGATTGTTGAACTTATTTGTATTGAAGTGCAAACTGTTTGAGAAAATGGTTCTCCCATGGGGAGCTGGGTAATCCCCTACTAATAAGCTCTGTTGGACCCTCGGTGTGGACCCTGGTGCAGGCTCCTGTCATGTTCCAGTATTCGGGGTCCTGTTGTGACTGCTGTCAGAAGCTGTGGTTGTGAAATGCTCTAGGTTGGCTTTCCTAGTTTGCCTTGCAGCAGAAGTTACTTGAGGTGAAGAGGGATGATCCTAGACAGCAGGTCTCAACCTTGGCTTCATCTTGGATCACACTGGGGACTTCGAAAAATATGGGACCCTGATCCCCCAACCCCCAGATATCCTGATTAAATTGGTTGGGTTTGGGGTGTGGGTTAGGCGTCTGGAGTCTCAAAAGCCCCCCCCCCAGGTGATTCTAATGTGGGACCCTGGTTAACAATCACCGTGCTAAAGGGTTTTCCACATTTGGTTGGAAAAAAGGTAAATCAAGGTCAATCTCTCCAGCCTTATCCTCTAATAAGAGTACCTAATTAGAATGATAGAGGCCATTGGATTCAGCAGTGGGGACTTATTAAAAATTAGTAATTCTGCTGTGTCAACCATGCCTCGGTCAAAGAGACTGCTTGGCTGGATGTTGGGTCATCCTTGAATTCCTGCAATACGTATGCCTCATCCTTTTCAGGTAGAAAAGGCATTATCAGTGGTTAAGAACCTGTTTCCAGTTCTAAATAACATCCAGAAAGACCAGGCAGAACCCAGGTATGTGCTGACTGCGTGTTTACATACAGTCCGCTCTTGTGCATCTTTCTTAATGCAAATGGCACATTCCATGTAGTCATAGCAATAGCTTGGCAGGGAGAGGAAGCTGAACATCAAGCCAGATGTTTTTCTTATATTATCTCAGCATGCTTTTCTGTCCTGAAGGCATTATCCCCATTTTATAGATGAGGAAACTTAGGCAGCATGCCTTGCCTCACAGTGCCTGCAGCATATACTTTCTCGTCTACGATTCACCTCTGCTGAGCTAATGGAGCCACATGGAGGAAAACTAAAGGTCGTTGAGTTTGTCTATTTAGTCAGAAGTTTTTGCTGCCCTGCCTAGAACGCGACCCAGCCAAAATTAAATTGTCTCTTCAGTCTACATATGTATGTGCTTGTGACTTCACCCATTCTGTCAGTTGTGTGTTTTGGTTTTAAGGGCTTCTTGAGGAGGTAAGGGGATAGCTGGAGGAGTATAAGTAAAAAAGGAAGATACAATGTTCAAAGGGCCTTGTTGCTTTTCTTAATCATGTTAAACACTTAAAAGCAATATTTGCCTAGCTATTTTAAAACAGAGTAACCAGTTGTTTGACTGACCCAAGATCAGATTTGCAGGATCAAGGCAATGCCTGTTTGCTTAAGCACTTGTTACTCAACATGCCATTGGGATACTACTGTTCCTGGTATGGTTTCTTAAGAGTCAACAATGTTAATATCCTTCTCTAAAGAAATTTTAACAGTGGATTTACTACATAAAATTGACATAACGTAAACATGAATCTCATAGGAGAGATGATAAGATGGACATTATGCATGTCCATTAATAGGAGTACTTAGTATAGATTGCGTCTTTTACCGCCCACCGCATGCATGTCCACTGGGTCTACTTCTGCAACTGTAGTTTCAACTACAAATTGACTTAACAAATTTCCTTCAAATCATTCACTGATTTTTAGTGGATGGGGATTTGGAAAAAACATTATCTATGGAGTCCAAATCATACCAAAATATGATAAATAATATAACAAATAGTTGCACAGCCAAAATTTTTTTTATGACTTTGCCCACTTCTTTGAAGAAGTTTTTAATACAATAAAATTACTGCAAAAGAAGAAAACTTGGACACTTTTTTTGTCATATGGAACTCTCTCTGACAATGGGTCTTTGTTTAATTCTTCAGTTTTCCCCCAAATTAGTAGAATACTCCATAGCAATGCAATTTTTTTTTTAAAGAAAATATAGGTACAATAGTTCACGTCTGTAATCTCAGCACTTTGGGAGACTGAGGTGGGTGGATCACCTGAGGTCAGGAGTTCGAGACCAGCCTGACAAACAAGGTGAAACCCCATCTCTACTTAAAAAAAAAAAAAAAAAATTAGCCGGGTGTGGCGGCAGGCGCCTGCAGTCCCAGCTACTCAGGAGGCTGAGACAGGAGAATTGCTTGAACCCAGGAGGCGGAGGTTGCAGTGAGCCAAGATCACACCACTGCACTCCAGCCTGGGCGATGGAGCAAGACTCTGTCTCAAAAAAAAAAAAAAAAAGAAAAGAAAAAAAGAAAAAGAATCACGAATGCTTACTGTCAATCATTCCAGAATGTAAGTAGTTTCAACTTTTAATTAAAATTGTGTGCTCAGATTTTTCATGTAGGAGAACTAAGCAGCTATCTGTGAAGTTATTTGCATTAGTAAAAATAAGTCTGTAATATATTCACCACATTGTCAAAATTGACTGCTTTATTTCGTTTTGGTTGATTATTTTTAATAAAGCTCTCTCAGGTAGTATTTTACAACATTATGTTCAACTAGGCTCTACTTCTTCGATCCCATGAAACTTGTAGTTTAAGAGGTATGTTTTTTTCTGAAATGTCTTGAGTGAAGAATAGAAAGTGATGACTCAAAACAGTAGGATATGAACATTCATTCAGAGCCCCAATCTCATTGAACTCAGATGACAAAAGAAATTTGCATGGCCCAAATTATTTTTTCTTCTGCCCTTGACCTTGAGAGTCTCTGGAGACTAAAAGCTGTTCTAGTGTGAGCTGGCACTCCTCCAGCACTACACTAAACCAGCAAGCACCTTCAATTTATTGATTTATCCATCCTTGCTGGATTAAGTTTGAGTTGATGCTGTGCAGTCCTGTAATCCTGTTTATTCTTTAAAACTAGTTGGGGGACCTCTTCCGGCAGGACTGTGGCTCTTAATCAATATTGGAAAAATTAGTTGAGCTGTCTTAAGCTGTGAGCCTGCTGAGCTCAGTATCTGTAATAACCAACAGAGAATGTCCAGATGACTTGTTCTTTAGCTTTCTTATTAGGGACTGATTCAGAATTCCTAGTCTTAGTTCTGTTCCGTGTGTCTTCTCTCCTTCTGAGCGTTTGGTCTTCTCTCCTTCTGAGCATTTTGAAATATTTATAAAGTTTTGATGACCTAAAGAGATATAACCAAGGACAGTAGAAAAAGTGCCTGACCAAGTCAGGATTCCTGAGTTCTACTGACTAGATTTGAGAAAAATTTCACCTCACTTCCCTGGCCTTGGCATCCTTTTCTCTAGGATGAGAAGTTGGCAGACCACCTAAGTTAGGTCTCTTCTGGTTTAAAAATGTGTATGTACCCGTTAATTATCTGAGGGGTTATTGTTGGAGCATATGATGGCTTGGGCTGCCATTCCCTAGCCAGAACCCATCTTCCAGAAAATCGATGAGGCTGCACATGTCCAGATAACAATCACAGAATGGGGTGTATATCTCTGATGAAGTGCTTGCCAAGAGTCAAAGGCATTAAGAGCTACCTGTGTCTGCCTCTCTCATTCCAAAATAAAATGTCATTTTGTTATTTCTACCTTTTATCCCTTCATAAACAATAAGCTGATTGTTTTTTGGCATATGAGAGAGTTTTGGTTATTTTGATAATGATACTTTCATTCCCTCATGAAGTTAACAGGGACATGTAAGAAAAATAAGATTGTAAAGAAATCAAGCCCATGAAGTTTGAGGTCCTCCTACCAAACCTATCTACCGCATCTGTTTGGTTAGGTCAGTTCTTTGAAAGTGTTAAATAAACCAAAATACGTTTCTGAGAATTTTTAAGTAAAAATGAATTTCCATAAGAACCTAGATTATACTTAGTTGTTTTTTCCTGAAAAATAAATTTTATAATAATAGAAACTGTGGAACTTATTATGGTAAGAAGGAAATAAACTCATGAGTTACAAGGTATTTGCACATAGGAGTCGAAAATGATGCACACTAAAGTCATGCATGGTGATTGGACTTGGAAAGTTAATATTGAATTTCAGGGCTGCAAAACGTTCTTTACCTGTGAAACCCCTGGATTCTTCAAGGCCCACTTCAAATAGCACCTATGAAGTCTCTTCCCACTTCTCTGGGCAGTTGGTCTCAAATGGTTAGTTGAGGGCATACTATGTCCTAGACATGGTCAAATGCCTATGGTCTCTTCCTTCAAAAAATGCACATTCTCCTGGGAGAGAGACAGTAAACATACAAACAAGATGGCTTCAGCTAAAGTGCTGTAAATGAAGTGGTGATGACATGGGGCAGGATGGCCATATTGGCCGGGGTGATGTGGAGGGCTTCCTAGAGGAACAGACATTGGAGCCGAGGCCTGAGGTCAAGTTTATAACTTTCCTCTGCTTACAGCATTTTTCTTTACTTCTATTATAACACTTAGCTTTGTAGTCTCATGATATATTGGATCTGTTTTTGCACTCAACTGAGAGAAGCCTGAGGTCAGGGATCTTAAATACAGTAAATTCATTGATTAAATAACTCAGACAATGATTTTACCTCTAAGTCCCTTAGTTGTCTAGGGAAGTTTTGTATGAGTTAAGCTTTAATGGGATTCCTAGATATTTGTGAAAATATATGTTTTTGGAAAATTGGATTACATGTTAGATAAACGTATAATTTTGGGTGAAATTCTGTGCTAACCATTTTGGAGGGAATGACTCTTCCATAATATCCCCTTCTATAAATCTGGTTGTCCCATCTCATTTCCTTAAAAACAAGGAAAATAAGATGTGCTATAATACAGCTGCATAAGAAGCTCTTTCCCGAGGTAAGAGGAAAATTTTCATTTAAAGAATAAATCCTAAAAGGTTGGGGAAGGAAAGGGGATATGTGAGAGAGCATTTATGAGATTAGAGTATGACACAGTGATACTCTGGAAGTTATAAGACAAGATTAATATCTAATGGGTTTTTAAACTATGGAAAAGGATATTTTTATGGTCCTGTAATATGAAATAAAGGAAACCAGATTCTCTTGGGCAGTGATCATCTAACTGCTTTCTTCATTGCTCGTGAGGCCGAGAGGAGTTGCTGCGGGGTGTGTACCGCCTGGCTAGGTCTTTTTTCTGTATCCCTTCCTGCCCATGCTACCACTGCATCTGTGTTTTTATGTCTTCTACTCGTAAAGTAAACCATTACCGTAAGGATTAGAGATGCTTTTCTTCTCTGCATTGCTACCATTTACTAGATGTTTTATGAGCAGTCATTGTGTGAGGTACTTTACATATTTCATCTAACCCTTGTAATACCTTCTGAAATATGGCTGCATTGTCATCCCCATTTTACAGATGGGGAAGCTGAGGCTCAGAGATGGTAGAGAAATTGCTGCATTGTACCAATGTAAGAGGTAGAGCTGGCACTTGAGCCCTTTCTCCCTGGCTTCTGAAACTCTGTGTTCTTAACTACTACATTCTACTACTACATTCTACCACCTGAGAGGAAATGGAGTCCATTCTGTTTGTGGGGTCTTTGGGAGGTGTCTTGGTTCATTTTCTCTTGCTATAACAGAATACCACAGACTAGGTAAGTTATAAAGAAAATTTATTTTATTTTCTAGTTCTAGAAGCTAGAAAGTCCAAGGCACGGCACTGGCATCTGTTGAGGGTCATCCCATGGTGGAAGGGTGGAAGGTGAAAGCAAACGTAGGATATATAGAGAGGAAATGGGGCTAAATTCCCTCCTTTTATAACTAACCCACTCCCACAATAACAGCTTTAATCCATTCTTGAGGGTGGTGCCCTCATGATCTAATCACCTCTTCAAGGCCTCACTTGTTAATATTGTTACAATGGCAATTAAATTTCCAACACCTGAAGCTTGGGAGATGTGTTCAACCCACAGCAGGAGGTGAATAAATCATAAAGGCAGAGACTTCATAGGCTGGATTAGTGCCCAAAGAGGCCCCAGAGAGCTTGTTTTGCCCCTTCTAGCATGTGAGGATGCAGTGAGAAGTCACCATGAGTGAACCAAGAGCCCTCACTACACACCATATCTGTTAGCACCTTGATCTTTGATGTCCTCACCTCCAGAACTGTGAGAAATTGATTTCTGTTTATAAGTCACTCTGTTTTTTGTATTTTGTTATAGCGACTTGAACGGACTAATACAGTCTTCTTTCGCCTCTAAAGTTCAGTGATCTTGGGAAATGCTTCTAGGGGTGGGAAAGAGAAATGATTTTGGCTCTATCTGGCTCCATGTCTTTCTTTGAAAGTTGGCTGGGTACTTGATCAGATGTAGTTACCCAGATTTAGATGGAGTTCTTAAAACACCTCAGTAACATACAGGAGGATCTTTTCCATAGACCATCCTCGTGAAAGGGAAAATTACAAACCCAACAGGGGGTGGGACCACAATTGTCTTGTTTATCCTTTTATCCCATGAAACAAATGCTTCTGGCACGTGGTGTTTTTTTAATTAATTTTACTTTTGTGCCCTATTTAAGATGTTTTAATAGTTGGGTATAGGTGGATGTAGATGCTTTAAAAAACCTTTATTTATTAAGATAGCCAGTTGGACAGTTAGCCAGATTTACAGAGGTAACATAAGTTCATGTTAAAGGCAAATATTCCTTGCCCCTTTGTGTTTCAATTTTTTAATATATTTTTCTTCAAGAAAAATGATGCAGTATATTTATGTCCCAAGAAGTTATCAATTTCACTAGTATCTGAGATTGAGATGTCTGACTTGAGTTTTCTCTTTGGACAGCTATCACAACCAGATTCTTTTTATTTTTTTTTTTTTTTTTTGAGACTGAGTCTCACTCTGTCTGCCAGGCTGGAGTGCAGTGGCGCAATCTCGGCTGACTGCAAGCTCCGCCTCCCGGGTTCACGCCATTCTCCTGCCTCAGCCTACCGAGTAGCTGGGACTACAGGCGCCCACCACCACGCCCTGCTAATTTTTTGTATTTTTAGTAGAGATGGGTTTTCACCGTGTTAGCCAGGATGGTCTCGATCTCCTGACCTCGTGATCTGCCTGCTTCAGCCTCCCAAAGTGCTGGGATTACAGGCGTGAACCACCGTGCCCGGCCCACAACCAGATTCTTTCATATTTATTTCTCGTTATGTGTTTAAATCCCAGGATTATTCTAAGCCCGCTAATATTTTCAGTGTCTACAGGAGTTCTCTGCCATAGCTAAGGCTTAGTTGTGTTCATCTTTAGCATTCTCATTTTAAGCAATTGTTTTTGCTAATTTTTTCATGCTTAATTTTAACACAATCTTAATTTTTTAATTTTGTGAGTCAGAAATAAAATCAAGAGCTTAAATGAATATTCTTTTATTCCTTAAAACATGTTATAATTCAATCCTAATCCCCGGGATATTTTGTCCTATTTGCCGTGTTTTCAACAGCCTAAAGGAGAAGTCATTATATTGTAATTTGTCAGAAGCTTTTCCTTATAGACTAAAGGAATGGTAAAATACCGGTTTGGTGAGGTCGCCCTAAGTACTTTTCATTACACTATAACATTTACTGACATTTCAAACTAAGTGACTAAAATAATCTGCAATTTTGACCTACTCTGTTACCTTTTGTTTATTTGTTATAGTTACTTGCAACCAAAATGCAAAATGTTCACAATAGATGTTTTAAAATATTTTCATTGATCTCTTCCTTCACTATATGTTTTTAAAACTTCAGATTACTTTGTTAACTTTTGAAATAGCAATGTGAGGAGGCCAAGGAGGTTTGCTGAAAATCACTGAGATGAGACAGATTAATAGAAGAAAAGGCACGCAAATTTATTTAACATGCATACACAGGAGCCATCCGAATTAAGACCCAAAGATACAGGGGAAGTTGTCCATTTTTATGCCTAAATTCAACAAAGTATGGACAGCCCTGTAGAAATATGATTGGACAAAAGGGCATGATTTAATGTTAATAGACTGAGTTTGGACACCCAGCAAGGCCTGTCTGTCTAGATTCTTCTTGGCCTCTGTGAGCAACATTCCTTTCTTCTGGGTGTGGGGCAGGACCCTCTCTGGAATGGGGGTCTTGTGACCTACAGTCAAACCAGGTAGGTCAAATCATTTCTTTATAGCCAGTTTTTACATACAAAGTGAAGGGGAAATTAGAGTAATATTTTTAGATTTTATGGCTGGCTTTGGGGGAAAAGAGTTTGGGTTTCTATGACCTTCCTTGGAGAAGAGGGATTCTAGTTTTTATGGCTAGCTTTGGAGGTGAATGGGACTAGCAGCCAGGAGGGCGGCAGAAGATCAGAGAAAAACGTTTGCCTCTGAGGATGCTACTGGGCCTTCATTTTGGGGTATTGTTTTCTGAGCCCCAACAGATGCAGTTATTTCTCAAAGGCAGTCATTGAGAGTCTCTCCCCTGATGTCCTTGCTCATCATCTTGGTCTCTTTACTTAATAGTATTTTGCCTTATCTGCTGAAGAATCAAGAAAAAAGGCGTTCTAGAAACTTATTACTGGTTATATTGTTGTTCATTAAGCCTGTGTGGGAGAACTTGAGAAATAGTACAGTGTAAACTTGTCTCTTATTAGTTTAGTGATCAAAGCCAGTTTCTGGAAGTTTCTACCTAAATTTTACAATGTATTTAAACATTTAGCAGAGTCCTAGCATGCAGTGGCTGCTTGATAAATGGTGGTGGTCCTCAGCTTTTTTTTTTTCGTATATATATCTTTTTTTTTCTGCTTATATATGACAGCCTTCAGATTTTTTTCTTTTTTCTTTTTAAATTCTTTTTACATTTTATAACTAGAGACAGAGTCTTTGTTGCCCAGGCTGGCCTCCTGGCCTCTAGCAGTCCTCTCGCCTCAGTCTCCGGTTAGCTGGGATTACAGGTGAAAGCCATTACACCCTTCAGATGTTTTGAGATGATGGTCATGCTTTCCTCTACTACTGATTGAGTGTCCCTCATCTGAAAATCCAAAATGCTTGAAAATCTGAAACTTTTTGAGTACTAATGTGATACCACAAATGGAAAATTCCATACTTAACCTCATGTGACAGGTTGCAGTCAAAATGCAGGTGCACAACCTGTAGTTTATTCAGCCTCCCCAAGGGGAAAAAAAGATCATTCCAGCCCCTTTCAGCTCTGATAAATATTTTCTGTGCATGCCCAGTTCCCCCACGAAAGCACACTCACAAGGAGTAATAAAATGGCACATGCGTAGGCCGGCTGCACCAATGGCAGGTTCTCCACAATGCTCTACGTGGGGTTAAGACCTATGTACATTACTCACTGTTTTGCTTTGTTGCTTATTCTCCGTTCTGTGGTGTAAAGATACTGTTGAAAACATCAATAATACTTGCATGATACTCATAGGGTAATGCAGATATTCCAAAATCTGAAATCTGAAACCTTTCTGGTCCAAGCATTTTGGATAAGGAATACCCAACCTGTATTTCCCCTTCTCTCTCTTCCTCTAAACATCATCACCTCTTTTTTGGATAAACATCTGGTTTCTGAATTCTTTATCACTTGCACTGAAACTTTTGAGTTACCATCATTATCAATCACTTGCTTAAAACTGAGGGCTAAGCTTTCCTCTTACTCACAGCAAGATTAACATAAAGGCACAGTGGAGAAAGGAATGAGAGATTAAGGAGGAGAGTGTTCAGCAAAGATCTTCAGAAGCTGAGGAAACTTTTGAGGAAAGTTTTGCCTCTATTTAAATGCACCAGTTGAAGGACTGACCCTATATGTACTATGCCCTGTTTATTTACAAATATTAGGTGGCCACGTTTCAATGTGAAGGTTTCTCTGTCTCAGTATCCTTAAGGTTGCATTGTTTCTCAAACTTTAACAATGGTAGCCATTTAAGATTAAAAACAATATAAAAATCCAGCATCCAAATTGCAGAAGCCAAGTATTGCCTTAATTACTTCAATTACATTAGTTACATTGTCACTTAAATGTTTGTAAATATAAAATTAGGTATGCTTATGTATATAGGTTTTACATAGTGATACAACCCAAACACACTGACAGTGTAAATACCAACAAAAGTGCATTACCAGTAAAAATGCAAAATAGCAATATAAAGCTAGAGATACTCTGCTCAAACTAAATTGGTGTTCCCAGTGTGACCGTGGCACTGAGTGCTGAGTTAGGTATGCTGTATGTCAGAATGCCGTGTAATGAGTCAGTTTTGCACAGCTAATGAGTATTCCTGTAGAGCAAAATTTTGTCCTCTCGCCTTAACTTGCTGTGAACATGTCTTTTATACGTATGAAGTCCACTTCCCTTTTTCCTTGTTGATTCCTGGCATAGTTAGAGTAGTTGAAGCCAAAAGACTGTTAACTTAGAAGTAGTTGTTCAGATGTTCCAGAATAGGATTACATAAACATTTAAAGTTTTATCATCAAAATAAACGCCCTATGGGCTGGGCACGGTGGCTCATGCCTGTAATCCCAGCACTTTGGGAGGCCGAGGCAGGCGGATCACCTGAGGTTGGGAGTTTGAGACCAGCCTGACCAACATGGAGAAACCCCGTCTCTACTAAAAATACAAAAATTAGCTGAGCGTGGTGGCGCACGACTGTAATCCCAGCTACTCGGGAGGCTGAGGCAGGAGAATCTCTTGAACCTGGGAGGCAGAGGTTGTGGTGATCCAAGATCGCGCCATTACACTCCACTCCAGCCTGGGCAACAAGATCAAAACTCCATCTCAAAATAATGATAAAAACAAAACAAAACAAAACAAAAAAACGCACAATGAAAATTCCCATAGTGAGCTCCTGTAGATTTTGGGATATTCTTGGCCCCATGTATGAGGAGCAAAAAAACCAGATCACAGATCTGATCTGCTGGTTCCATCCTACCCAGGAGATTAGATACGATTTCTTCCTCAGTGGGTAAGCTACAAAGCTTTTTGGTTACTGGGTGGGTTTTCGTTTTTACATTTAGCTAATTTATTTGGCCTTAAGTTAAACTCCTCCCAGATTTCAATGCTAAAACATGGATTTGTGGACATACCTATTTCTTCATAGATATTCGTAGGGTCAAAGCAGATTTTGTACCCCCTTCTCGGTAGAAGGTATCACAGACCATACAACTGGATGTGACTTTAGGAGATGATTTGGTTCAGTCACTTGCCTGCAGGTGTATTGAAAAAGTAATGGTCTTTGAGGTGATCTTATTTTGTGTCCCCAGCCCCGCTCTGCAGAAATAGGTGTTGTATTCATTGAGCAAATATGTAAGTAATGGTTCAGAGACAAGGCAAATGAGTATGGAGTGGGAACAGCATCTGGGCCAGAGCAGTGCACTTTGTGTTAGTCTGCCAATTCCTTTAAGTTTACATTCTGTGCGGTTTGGCCAGGAAACTCAATTAAGTTGTTTGCCATGACGGAATAATAAATCAGTCTTACTTTTTCTTACTCTGTATTTTTTCTTAGCTAGCTGGATGTGGGAACTCATCTGTGATGTATTTAAAATGGACCTTAAAATTATAATCCACCCGGTCTCACACAAACGCTGCGCTTGATGAAGGGTATCGAATCATCTTGTAGAGGCAAATATGCTCGAATATCTTTTCCTTGGTTACATTCTTTTGGAAGCAATGTTTTTCTTAATTTCCGAAGTTAGGAAAAATTCTAGGTTCCTAAGATTTTACTGATGTTAGACCTGAAGTGTCTTTCCTTTTCTTTCCTTTTTGTCTTCCTTTTTCTGTGTTACCATATTTAAGTATGTGTGTGTGTATCCTTTTCTCTAAGTTTGAAGAGTCCTTGCACTTTAGATTTGTAAATAAGTTTTCCTTTTTATCATTAAGTTCAGTGCTTGCTTCTACTCCTAGAGTTAGGCGTAGTCTCAGTGTCCAAATTTTATACAACTCAATATCTGCCACAAATGTCAAGACAGTTTGTAATTACAAACTAGTTAGTTGTGTTAGGCAGTTACTGGACATACTATAACAGAGGTGTATGAGAGACTTTATAGTAACTGATAGAAAAGTAGCCTAAAACTGCTATTGTTAAAATTTCCACCTACATAAGATTCCATGTAGTTCTTTGTCCTAAAAGGAACATTTATGTGTGTGTGTGTGTGTGTGTGTGTGTGTGTGTGTGTGTATTTGTGTTAGGAACACTTAACATGAGATCTGCCCTTTCAAATTTAAGTGCAACGTATGGTAGTATTAACTAATAGGCACAGTGTTGTACAGCCGATCTCCAGAACTTTCTCATCTTCATAACTGGAACTTCGTACTCATTGAGCAGCAGCCTCCCATTTTCTCTTCCCCTCACCCCCTGGCAAACACTATTCTAGTCTCTGTTTTTATGAATTTGACTTTTTACATAACCTATGTAAGTGAAGCCATGCTACATTTGTTCTTCTGTGGCTTATTTCATTTAACATAATGTCCCCCAGGTTTGTCCATGTTGTTGCATATGGCAGAATTTGCTTCATTTTTAAAGACTGAATAATATCTCATTGTATGTATATACCACATTTTCCTTATCAGTTCATCCATCACTGGGCATTCAGGTTGTTTTCATATCTTAGCTATTGTGAATTATGGTGTAATGAGCATCAGAGTGCCAGTATCTTTTTGGGATGCTTATATCAATTCTTCTGGATATATACCCCAAAGTACAATTGCTAGATCATATGAAAGTTTTATTTTTAATTTTTTGAGGAACTTTCACACTGTTTCCATAGCAGCCATAACCTTTTACATTCCCACCAACAGTGTACTAGAGTTCCAGTATCTCTACATCTTCTCTAATACCTTTTTTAAAAAAACCCATTCATCCTAACAGGAGTGAGGTGACATCTATTGTGGTTTTGATGTGCATTTCCATGATAATTATTGATGTTGAGCATCTTTTCATATACTTGGCCATTTGTATGTCTTTTTTGAAATGTCTATTCAGATCCTTTCTCTTTTTAAAAATCTCTGTTTTGGGGTTTTTGTCCTATTTCTTATACTTTTTGAATATTAAAGGATAAAGATCACACAATCTTAATAGATGCAGAATGCAGAAAAAGCGTTTGATAAAATTCAACATGTTTTCATGATGAAAACACTCAATAAACTAAGTATAGAAGGAATTTACCTCAAAATAATAAAGACCATATATGAAAAGCCCACAGCCAATCTCATAGTTAACAGTAGAAAAGCTTTTCTCTAAGATCAAGAACAAGGCAAGGATGCCCACTCTTGCCACTTCATTCAACCTAGTACTGGAAGTCTTAGCAAGAACAACTTGGCAAGAAAAAGAAATAAAAGGTACCTAAATCAGAAAGGAAGAAGCACAATTATCTGTTTGCAGAAGACATGATCTTATATGTAGAAAACCCTGAGGACCACACAAAAATTGTTAAACTAATACATTCAGTAAACCTTTAGGATACAAAATCATCATACACAAATCAGTTGTGTTTGTATACACTAATAACAAACTAATAAGGAAATTAAGAAAATTTCATGTATGATAGCATTACAAAATTAAATACTCAGGAAAATTAAGGAGGTGAAAGCTCTTACACTGGAAACTATAAAACATTGAAGGAAGTTAAAGAATACACAAATACATGGATAGACATCCTGTGTTCATGAATTGGAAGATTTAATATTGTTAAAATTCCCACATTTCCCAAAGTGATTTACAGATTCAATGCAATTATGAAAATCCCAATGACATATTTATTTATTTATTGAGACGGAGTCTTGCCCTGTTGCCCCAGGTTGGAGTGCAGTGGTGCCATCTTGGCTTACTGCAACCTCCACCTCCTGTGTTTAAGCTATTCTCGTGCCTCAGTCTCACGAGTAGCTGGAATTACAGGCTTGTGCCACCATACCTGGCTAATTTTTGTATTTTTAGTAGAGACAGAGTTTTGCCATGTTGGCCAGGCTAGTCTCGAAATCTTGGCCACAAGCAATCCACCCACCTTGGGCTCCCAAAGTGCTGGGATTACAGGCATAAACCACGCCCAGCCTCAATGGCATTTTTTACAGAAATAGAAAAACAACCTAAGATTCATGCAGAACCACAAAATATCCAAATAGCCAAATCAATCTTGAGAAAAAAGAACAAAACTAAAGGCATTACATTTCCTGATTCCAAAATATATTACAAAGACACAGTAATTAAAACATTATGATACTATCATAAAAACAGACACATGGAACAATGTAACAGAACCAAGAGCTTAGAAATAAACTCAAATATGTATGGTCAGCTGTATCTTCAACAGGGTTGCCAAGAATACACAATGGGGAAAGGACAGATTCTTCAACAAATGGTGTTGGGAAAACTGGATATCCACATGCATAAGAATGAAACTGAAACCTGGAACCTTATACATAAAAACCAACTCAAAATAATTTAAAAATTTAAATATAAGATCTGAAACTCCTAGAAGGAAAACATAAGGGAAAAGTTTCATGACATTAGTCTTGGCAATGATTTCTCAAGTATCACACCAAAAGTACCAGCAACAAATGTAAAAATAGACAAGTGGGACTACATCAAACTAAAAAGCTTCTACACAGCAAAAGAAACAAATCAACAGAGTGAAAAGGCAACCTACAGAATGAGAGAAAATGTTTGCAGATAACATGTCTGACAAGGGGTTAATATCTAACAGTGGAGATTTTAAATGTAGAGAGATTACTGTGCTTCAACTGTTTAAAAAAGAGTATGTAAATACATATTCCATTGATTAAAAGGCATATCACATTCATTAGACTACAAAGTGCGCTTGGACTCTTGGTGTTTTAATGGTCTGAAATGGAAAAGATACTGGTAGGTACTTGGTGTCTTCATCTCCTGCTAGTGCCCGTAGATGCCTTCAGTTGACTTTTGATGGACTGACATGACCTACGAGTGTCTCAGACCATGCATGAGGCCCTTCAGGAGCCTGACCCTGAGCCTCCCAAAGTCATTCTAAGTAAACTGTAACACTATGTGCTTATTTTGCCTGGATGCAATGCAAATGCAAACCATGAAATGTGTAAGTCTGTTTTGGAAATACGCATTTTCTTCATTACTTTGACAAACATGTTTTAAGTGCCTGTTGTATTCCAGGTCCTGTACTAGGTGTTGGTAATATGAAGAAGGTACAGTCAGTTTTTTGAGGGAGCTTCTAGTCTAGACAGTGGCTTGTAACCAGGGACTGTTTTCAGAGTCATTTGTGAAATCAAAACACCTTACCCACATGTTCAGTTCACTCTCACTTTCCAGTGATTGGCTTAGTTGAACTGGGGTGAGGCTTGGGTGTCTGTACTTATGCAACAAAATCACCTGATTTTTAAAGAAATTCTCCACTAAGAACCACTAGCAGAAACAAATAAATTGTAATTATGAGAAATTAATATATTGTAAGCTCAGTACAAAAAGAGTGAGGAGTGACATAATTTTTATTTTTCAACTATAATATACCTATAGAAAGTTCATAAAACACACGCAGCCAGAATTATGAAGTGAACCTCTTTGTGACTACTAGTCATGTCAAGAAATAGAATATTGCCAGCATCTGAGAAGCTCTCCCTGTGTCCCTTCCCATTTACAAGTCTTCTCTCTCCCATGGCAACAACAGCCTGGCTCTTGCTTTTCTTCATGATTTTACCGCCTATGAAGGCATCCCTAATCGATATAGTTTACTTTTTCCATTTCAAACTCTGTATGAATTAAATCATAGCACACATATTCTTTTGTCATCTTTTGCTCACCATTGTTTATAAAACTCATCCAAGTTGTTGCATATAGCTCTCATTTGTTCATTTTCATTAGTATGTAGTAGTTCATTAGTGACCTCACCACAATCTGTGTACCCTTTCTCTTGTTGGACATGTGGGCCGACTCTGATCTTTGGCTGTTGAGCAATGCTCCTATGAACATGTGTGTGTATATAGAGTGTCTATGTGAATGAGTTTCTCCAGGCTGTTTTCCTAGAGTGTATTTCTGGGTCATTGGATGTGTGTTGTTAACTTAGCACTAGATAATGCCAACCTAAGTGATTGAACCAATCAGTTTTTCCTAAGTGATTTAACCAATTTAAAAGCTTTTCAGTGTATGAAGGTTCCTATTGCTTTACTAAACTCTTTGCCAGAGGTGCTTAATCTTGAAGGGTCAGTGGAAGAGAGACAAGGAGAGAGGAGGAAGGTTATTTCCGGCGTATAAGAAGGAATGAGAATAAAGAGGGTATGAGAAGTTTGAAAGGAAATTGCAAGCATGCTGATATGACACTAATGTAGGAACCTGCAGGGAAGTGGTGGGAAATGAGGCTGGAAGTGTGTGATGTGCTGAAGAGTTTGGCCTTTGTTCTAAGGGCAGTAGAGAGACAAGAAAATCAAATATACATTTTTTAAAAACTTGTGACAGCTGTGTGGAGGGTGAGGCCCAGACATGGGGCTCTTTACTACTCTAATCCGGGAAGAAACGAGAGAAGGCAGGGTAGAAGGAGTTGGTTTCCAGAGGGGTTTAGACCAAAGTCAACCGTTCTGCCAATTTTGTTGAATGTGGGGGAAGGGCAGTGAAGAAGGAAGCTTGGTTTTTGCTTAGATGACTGAACAGTGGTTATTCCGTTCAATACTTTGGGGACTTTAGGAAGAGGAGAGTGTGAGATCAGGGTGGCAGTAATGGAGAGTGAAATTCGTTTTAGATATGTAGCATGTGAGATATTCATAGATATCTAGAGAGGGATATTCTGTTAGTGGGTTGAACTCGAGAAAGATCTAGGCCAGAAATGTCATCGATGTTTGATTCCTCAGAGTGTAGATGGTGGTTGAAGCCATGGATAAAGATGCAGCTGCCCAGAGAAAGTCTAAGGAGGATGAGGGATGCCTGGGTGGGTGTGGAAAGAGGATCCTGAAAAGCAGACTGAGAAGGAGCAACCTAAGAAATGTGAGGTAAAGGTAAGGGAGATCATAGATGCTAGGGAAAAAAGGATTTGCATGAAGAGGATTAGGACTGGTGTCCAGTGCCCTCAGAAGACACTGAAGACACTGAGTGAAATTAGACAGAAAATGTGCTTTGCATTTGGCAGTTAGGTAAGAAGTACTTGGGAACTGGGGCGAGCCACATTTCAGCTAGCAGAGCCCAGGGAGCACAAGTGATGCTCCAGTGGCTTAAAAGCAAAGAGTGGGCGATGAAGTGGAAAAACAGATGAGGACTGGCAGTGAATGGAAGCCAAAAGCACATTAGGTAGAGTAGAGTGAATGGGGTGGGGCTGGGCGGTTCATGTGTTTAAGGTGGGACACACTTGTGTATAATCCTATAAAGAGGGCTGGAGAGGAGAGAAAGAATGGCTCTGAAACCTCAGCATGGGAGGAGAGAAGGACCCACGTCCTGTTAGAGGGATTTAACTTTGAATAGGAGGAGAGCACTCTGTCACTGAAAGGAAAAGGACGTGCGAAAAATGGGCACAGATGGAAATAAATGTGTAAGAATGAAGGTTTGCAGAGAGTGAGAAATTGGAAATTTCTAGCCTTTTTTTTTTTTTTTTTGAGACAGAGTCCCGCCCACTCTGTCACCCAGGCTGGAGTGCTGTGGTACTGCAACCTCCGCCTTCTGGGTTCAAGCGATTCTAGTGTTTCAGCCTCCGGGTAGCTGGGATTACAGGCATGCACCACCACTTGTGGCTAATTTTTGTATTTTTTAGTAGAGACAGGGTTTTACCATGTTGGTGAGGCTGGCCTGGAACTCCTGGCCTGAAATGATCTGCCCACCTTGGCCTCCCAAAATGCTGGGATTACAGGCATGAGCTACCGTGCCTGGCTGGAATTACCTAGCTTTTAATGACCTCTTTCTTCTTGAATAAGAGGCAGTTCATTTGGTTGAGTAAGGATGAAAGTTAACGGCCTTCTAAACATATACCCAACCAAGTTGTATTACATAATTGTAAACACTGAGTCAACCTGCTATATATGCAGTAATGCAAAGTGTCTTTGAATGGACATCAAAGGTAAAAAGCCATAGCTGTGCCTCTGGAAAGAGTCTTATAGGATATTGAAGGAATGCTTTCTGTTCCATTACCATGCCTGAAAACAGTTAAGTTTTATAACCACCTTATGCTTCTGTTTTTCCTCTTTCTATACAGAAACCAAAACCCTCTTTGTATATAGTACTCATATGATCGGGATTTGCAAAATGATTTCCCCTAAATTTTTTACAGTTTTATGGCCAAAGAACTTGAAAGAGAGAGAAGGCAGGGAAAGGAGAATGAATATGGATATATGTATCTAAATTCCCTTTAGCCAAAGACCACTGGGCACACACATGTAGTTGAACAAGTTGGGTTTATTACTTGTTCCAATGAAGAAGAACACACCTTATAAGATACCATGTGGTGTCTTAGTAAGAGGGTGTTAGAACCTATCATAGCATTTGGGCTCTGGCTGATTAATATTAGGAAGGATCTAAGGAAACGGGGGCTCACTCTGTCTTGGGTGCTGTCAGAAGGCAGGACAATCCTATGATTGGATACCTCTATAAATCTTAGTTATAGGGAGGGCAGACTAGATTGAGGAAAAAACTACGGTGGTAAAGAAATGGCAGTCACTCACTTAGTGCAAGAGGGGGATGTTTGGTATTGTGGATTGCACAGTGACCTTGTTTTTGTGTCACTTTATCATAAAGTCTTAGAGTGACTTCGTATGATATAGTCTGTGAGATTATGTCTAACAGAAGAACAAAATGGCTTGACTCTGAGTGACAGACCAGCTTGTAATAACATTGAAGTCTAGCTATGAGTCAGCCCAGTTCTGGGACTGCTTTATCTACTTATGAAAAAAATACATATGCGTGGTCCTAGTTGAACTCTAATTTTTATTTTGTTAATTTTTTATTTCAATAGCTTTTGGGGTACGAGTGGTTTATGGTTACATGGGTGAATTGTCTAGTGGTGAAGTCTGAGATTTTAGTGCACCTGTCACTTTGTTTTGGTGAGGGCAGTTTTAACATACGTTGGCAAGAGTTTAACAAAGTCTCTCATACTGTGGGGTTTTTTCTTTTTCTTTTTTTTTTTTTTTTGGCAGAGTCTCATTCTTGTCACCCAGGCTGGAGTGCAGTGGCACGGTCTTGGCTAACTGCAATCTCTGCCTCCTGGGTTCAGGTGATTTTCCTGCCTCAGCCTACTGAGTAGCTGGGATTACAGGCGCCCGCCACCACACCCGGCTAATTTTTATATTTTTAGCAGAGACGGAGTTTCACCGTGTTGGCCAGGCTGTCTCAAACTCCTGACCTCAGGTGAGCCACCTCCCTCGGCTCCCCAAAGTGCTGGGATTACAGGCATGAGCCACCGTGCCTGGCCTCTCACACTGTTATTTTTATATTGGTACATTAAGATTTAATACTGTAGGATGCAGGATGTACTTTTTCAGCTATGTCCTTGTGAGAATGGAAGAAATGGGAGACCTACAAGTTGGCAAGGGAGTCACGAATCTTAAACAAGAATCCCTACAGTACCAAGAATCTGTGTAGGGGGAGGCTAATCGCTTCTAATCAATCTTGCAGGTGCATAGTATCTAACCAAGAATGATTATTGATTTCTTTTTAGTAGAGACATGGTCTCCCTGTGTTGCCCAGGCTGAGCTTGAACTCCTGGGCACAAGGGATCCTCCCTCTTCGGCCTCCCAAAGGGCTGGGATTACAGGCATGGGCCGTTGCACTCAACCTGATGGATTAACATCGAGAGTTGTAACTAACTGCCCAGGGAACCAACATCTTAAGTTCTTTTGTCAGCATATTCTCTCCTTGTAGGCAAATCTATATAAGAGACAAAATTACAATCTGCAGATTGTTTGATTTGGATGGGGACATTATAAGACAAGCTAGCTTGGGTACCTTGATGGCTGTTGTCGTCAAGGTATATGACATCTATACTTTAGGGGTTTGTGTGGCCAGTACACAGAAACACTAAAACCATGTGCTGAACCTATGTGCTGTAATGTTGAATGCCAAGATTACTAAAGTGGGTTTCATACCGTGTCAGCACCTAACATGAGAGCTTGTGCATAGTAGGCACTCAGTGTACATTGTAATGAGTTGTCTAGGCTTAAAGAAAACAGGGCCATGGGTGCAGAGAAGAGGGTGAGGCTATTGAACTGTTATTTGTGTCTGCCATGGATGTAGAGAGCCCTATCTTGTAGGCATTTGTTAACCTTGTAGGCATTTGCCAGCCTGCCTCAAAACTTTAATACAAGTTTATGATGGAACTAGTCTACAAGTTTGGTTTGTTTGCTTTATGGGGACAGGATCTTGCTCTGTTGCCCAGACTGAAGTGCAGTGGTGAGATTATATCTCTCTGTAGCCTTGAACTCCTGAGCTCAAGTGATCCTCCTGTCTCAGCCTCCTGAGAAGCTGGGACTACAGATGTGTGCCACCATGTCCTGCTAATTTTTGTATTTTTAGTAGAGACAGGATCTTGCTATGTTGCCCAGACCTGTCTTGAACTCCTGGCCTCAAGCATTCCTCTTGCCTTGGCCTTCCAAAGTGCTGAGATTACAGGCATGAGGCACCATGCCCAGCCTACAAATTTTTAATGGAAACATTATGAAAGGAAGAAGGGAGAATGGGAAGGAATTAAAATTTATCTGTAATTGCACAAAAGCAAATTAAGGAGCTTCCTTTACCTACTTCATTCTAACATTCTGAACTTGTGTAAGGAAACAAAATGCAGAGAAATTTAGGAAGCATCTCTCCTTGTGGATATGTCAACTGTGTAGAAACAGGTTGACCAAGGAAATCTGATATATGAAATCTGCTCTTGTTTTGTTTCTTTTTTCATTGTTACTCTTTATGTTGGGACAGGCTTTCCCCCAGCTGACTTACTACTTATCCCTGCCCTTTTTAAAAAAAATTACCTTCTTTTGCTAAGATTCTTTTTTCTCTTCCATCTTATATTTTGAATCGAAAATAGAATTAAAGTTTTATGATAGATAAAAATAGTAAGAGCTTTTTGATGTGAGAGTTACTTTCTCTATAAAGTTAAAGCAAAATTCTGTTTTGCCCATTAATGCATATGTGTGGTTATAGTTATATTTTATTAAATTGATAACTGTTTTTGAAATTATATGACATTTTCCCAGATGATCATACTGTGAAAAATGATTTAGATAAGCCTACAGAGATGAAAAATCTCTAAACGGTGGTGGTTGGGCTAGATTTCACTTTACTGGTGTAGAAATGGTGTTAAAGCCTGTGATTGGTTCCCCAGTTATCTTGGGCAGTGCCCTAATTATACCCTTAAATAGAAGACATTGCTTCTCTTTTTAAGCCATTCTTGGGGCCAGGCATGGTGGCTCATGCCTTATAATCCCAGCACTTTGGGAGGTCAAGGTGGGTGACTCGCTTGAACACAGGAGTTCAAGACCAGCCTGGGCAACATAATAAAAACGCTGTCTCTACTAAAAACACAAAAATTTAGCCAGGCATAGTGGCATGTGCTTGTAATCCCAGCTACTTGGAAGGCTGAGGTGGGAGAATCACTTGAGTCCAGGAGGTTGAGGCTGCAGTGAGCCATGATTGCGCCACTGCAGTTCAGCCTGGGCAACAGAGACCCTGTCTCAAAATAAATAAATTAATTAAATAAAAATAAAATCTTCTTGTATGCCTTATCTGTCACTGAATTATTCATGTGCCTTCGGAGACTGTACAATTCTCCATTAATCAGGATTTCAAGAACATTATGATAATAGTTAAATATAATATGGATATTAATAGGTTTTTCTCGGGAATTCTCTTTCACTATTTGGGTTACTTCTGTTTTAAGTATTTATAATATTTAAGGTTCATGTTAATATTGTTAACGATGAGTGTTATACTGAATATGTGAAAAAATAATGGATTCTTTTTAGAAAAACCTTAGTATAACCCTCTTATCTTGTATGTCAAAAAGTCAAGAGTATAAAAACCTTGGGTGATTCTGACTTTCCTAAAAGAAAAATTGTGGTATCTCAACATATAATTTTTGGAAATTTTGGAACTTAAAATATCAGTAAACATTGAATTAATAAGCCACTTGGCAAATAATATAGCTCTTATGTTGTACTTAATAAAAATTAAGCAGAAGGTTTCATGAGTAATGAACACATCATTTTAACTACTTCAGGTCCTCTCCTATTTAAGTAGATACAGAAAAGCGTATATTTAAACAATAGTTATTTTAAATTTACATTCTGTAAGAAGAAAAGTAGCTGAGGTATATTTCTTTTAGCTGCCAGAACTCTTCCATAATGTTTGTGGTGCTTCATTAATTTAATAAGTGACCTTGTACCTGAGTATAATTGAGTCAGCTATGTGAAGATGTTGTGATTATTCTTTGATTAGGGCTGAAATCTATAATTGGAAGAAATATATTTGTATTTCTTTATAGCAATATGTTGTGATATAATTATTTCTACCAGAATGAGATTTCTAAAACTAATTAGTAAATAGGAGGTTTGGGGAATCAGGAAGTACTTTAGAATTCAACTGGTTCATCCACTTCAGTTTATTGCTAATGATACTGAGGACCAAAATGTGGAGAAATGAATTATCCAAGGTGGCACATTTGGTCAACATATTTGGTCCAGTGCTTCTCACCCTGTAATCCTTGTTATTCTCTCAAAACCAATCTAGACTATTTAAAAGAAAGGAAGGTGGGAGAATGCCAAAGGAAAAGGGTGAACATCCCCTTTTAGTGAACCCACTAAGGTTAAGGGTTCACTTAATGGGTTTCCAGCATCTGTTCTTTAGACCAAATGCTTCTATGATAGAGATAATCATGCTAATAAAATCAAATTTTGCTTTTTAGGTGAGAGTTACGTGTGTGCATCCAATGAACCATTTCGTAAAGTCGATTACACCAAAAATATTAATCCAAACTGGTCTGTGAACATCAAGGGTGGGACATCCCGAGCGCTGGCTGCTGCCTCCTCTGTGAAAAGTGAAGTAAAAGAAAGTAAAGATTTCATCAAACCCAAGTTAGTGACTGTGATTCGAAGTGGAGTGAAGCCTAGAAAAGCCGTGCGGATCCTTCTGAATAAAAAGACTGCTCATTCCTTTGAACAAGTCTTAACAGATATCACCGAAGCCATTAAACTAGACTCAGGAGTCGTCAAGAGGCTCTGCACCCTGGATGGAAAGCAGGTAAGATGCTTCTAGCTCCCAGCTCTCCATCTGACTTTTAAACTCCCTGTGCCATGGTGGCTACATAGTCAACAATAGAAATTTAGTAGTGTGCTAGAAATCCTTCTGGGAGTCATACTTGAGATTGTGTGTGTGTGTGTATGTGTGTGTGTGTGTATGTATGTAAAATTAACCATTTTTGTGAAAAATGTAAGCGACTTAAGTACCTCAAAAGTGATTATAGAGAAGTCTATCATATACTTCTTTTGGTTATTGGAAGGAAAATGTAAATTTCTGAGGGAAAAGTATAAGTTGAGGAGACATCCTACGTTAAATGGCATGTCATCTATTTATGAATAACTGTTGATTTGTAAAGTCATTATGGACTTGGGTATCACAGGAGTCAAAATTAAAAGTATTTAACATTCTTAGAAAAACCTTTTCTTCCCCACTTACATATAATAGGGAAAATGTATTTCAAAAGAAAGTACTTTTATAGGAATGTCTGTAAAAGTTTCATAGGGAGCAATGGAGGTAATTAGTGAGCATTTTTGAAAAATGAAAAATTGCACAGGAAAAAGCAATTAAAATTATGGCAACAATGTATCAGGGAACCTAAGGGACAAAAAAAGTTGGCATATTGCAAAAACACATGAATAGCCGTTAGGTAAGTGTTGAATTTTGCTACAATCAGATTATCATTGCTAAAAAGAAGCTTGGCTTCTGAAGTGTATTTTCCCCCAAATTCCATAAAGTTAAATTGTTTATATTTACATTGTATTAAAATTATAGTTTCCAAAATTAAATTTGTTTCTTTGTTCCATTTTGCCTCTTCCCTGTAACATACTTAATTTATTTTGAAGTGTTCTGCTCTTGAAGTGCTGAGAATGAATAATATAAAACATTGAGCAGTGTCTTTGGGAAAAACACAATCAAATTAGTCTCCAATTTTCTAAGACCAGATCTAGTTAGTACAGTGCTTGCTGAAACATTAGCAATTTTTTAAAAATACGTTCTAAAGATTCCAGTAGATTATGGTAAAATTAGAATAACATTTCTAATTAATTAATAAGGTATATAGTACCTCATAGCCGCCTGCCCCCAAATATGTGTGAATGATGATAGACACTTCATATAATTTAGTTAATAGCACAGTACAACACAAAACACCTTAAGATTTACTCTGCAAGTAAGGAAAAATAAATTAGGCTACAGGAAAAAGGTATTTGACAAATCAAATAGTTGATTCTTGATGGGCACAGGGAAGACACATATAGAGACAAAAATTTAAGATACCTAACCAAAGAAAAAAATCTAAACTCACCAATTTAGGGGAAAAAGGCATATAAACAGTAAATACAGATGTGATTTGAAAAATTAGAGCTCAAGTTTGGAAATCCCCAAATGAATGACATTCAGGGAAAATATAGGTGAAATAAAAGAAGTTGTGGTCAGGTGTGGTGGTGCACTCCTATAGTTCCAGCTACTTGGGAGGCTGAAGTGGGAGGATCCTTTGAACCCAGGAGTTTCGGGCTGCAGTGAGCTATGATTGTGCCACTGCACTCCAACCTGGGTGCTGGTGACAAAAAAGACCACATCTCCTAAAAAAAAAAAAAAAAAAAAAAAAAAAAATCGAGCATCTAATTCAAATATCTAATTGAAATAGTAACCATTGAAATTTAAATAGTTATCAAAAAAATTATCCTTAAAAAGGTTCCAGACTATAGATGTAAAAATGTTAACTAAAGCACATGCAACTAAAAATCAACATTTCAAAACAATACAGTGTGATGAATAGGACTTATGCTGGTATTTAAAGGATGGCTTACTATTGAGAAACTTCTTTATTCATGAGATCTATAGGATAAAGCACAATAGCACATATTCATAATCCCAAACAGATGTTGCAAAGGCCTTTGATAAAATACTCTATATTCAGTTAAATATTTAGTAATAAAAATGGGTGATTTTTTAAAATTACACTAAAAAAAAAATTTCTATCTGAAACAACAAGCCAATGTATTACAAAGTAAATAAACACTGGAAGTATTTCTATGACAGGTCCAAGATAAGGATGCCTGATGATGGCGCCAGTATTCAACATTCTTCTATACATTCTTTCTGATTTTTATTTATATTTTACTAGAATTTCAGTAAGAATCTAAATGAGACTTTTTAGGAGGGGTAGATGGGGAACCTAACAAAATGATTTTTGAATTTAATCTGGAAAAATAGGAAAATTTTGGAAATAATAATTAATGGGCTTTCATGCTACCAGATACTAAATCATCATTCTCATACCACACCAAAAATAAATTCCAGGTGTGTTAGAAATATAGATGTCAAAATGAAACAAAAGGACTAAAAGTATGTCAATAGTTATGTTGAAATGGGAACAGATTTTCTAAGCATAACGTAATGGGAAAATCACAAAGTGTAAGGTTGAATGGACAACATAAAAATGAAAGATTTCTGGATGCCAAGCAAGGGTTTATATGCTTTAATATTGAGTTTAGTAATTTAATATGAAAAAGACAAATGCTACAATGAAAAAGATGAATAAAAGTCTAAACAATTTGAAAAGACAGAATTAGTGAACATTAAAAAATGTTGTTTCACAAAAAGGTGAATTAAACAAGTGAGATGTTTTAATATTTAAAACTGACAAGCTCTTAAAGAAAATGTTCAGTGTTTTTGAATATGCAGTGAATTGGTATTCTCAAATGGTGATGGAAGTGTAAAATTCATAAGCTTTATGAAAAGCATTTTGTTAATATGTATAACTATACAGATGTTCTTACTATTTGAACTAGTATATTAACTTTTGCAATTTATCCTAAATGACCTGACATGCAAACATAATTACACATAAAAATTTCATCCCAGCATAAAAGCAAAAAATTGAAAGTAGAAAATAGTTGTTATATTACCATGGAATTCATATGTACTGGCCATTGAAAATTATGTTTGGAGTAATATTTAAAGACATGAGAAAATGTTAAATGGAAAAAGCAAGAAACAAATTCCATGTAATATGTTTTCAATTCTTTGTACAGTTAAAGAAAAGTAGCAGCAGAAGTATTTTTTTAAAGCTAATTCAGAAGGAAACAAGATTATACTTGCCATCAGAAATTGAATATTTGCTGTTCTGATATCCACTACTACTTCCTCATATCTGCTCAAAAACAAAAACTCAAGCACTGAAAAAGAAAAGACTGATCTCAGATTTTAGAAATTCATACACATTATGAGTTAATTATTTTTTCATGTGCCAAAAAAAGATCTTTTAAGACTTTCAAGTAAAATATTTCTTTGGAAAAATTAGATTTAATTTTTGATAAACACAACATTGGATATTGCATTTTCAGCGAACCGGGTATTCTTAAAAGCTATAGTTTTCTTAGTGCTGAGTCCATGTTGTACTATATAGGTGAACTCGCTAATCTTCAAAACTTCAAGTCTGTTTTTGGTTGATATAAGTATAAAGATACTATGACATCTGCAAACCTTTAAATGAGCAGTGCTCATTTTGATCTTTTTTTAATAAAAAAATTTCTATGGGTATGCATGCTTGATCTTGGCCAAAAGGCCAAGAAGCAATTCTACATGTATGTAAAACTATCAGCATTCTGAGAATTCTCAAGGAAAGGACACCTTTCCTTAGATGAAGAGAAAGGAATGAGAAAGGAACTAAGATCCGTTGATAAGTTGTCTGTGTACAAAATTGTAAACTGTCTGCCTAAATTTTATTTTTTCCTGGTTGCTTCCTACCCAGATTGGTTGTTTTCATTTAAAATTTTCCTGATCGTCAACACAAGGATAGAAATTAAATAACTTTTAGGCAATTCACCATGAACAGTCACTGACTGCATCATGACACCTGTGTGAGAGTTTTAAGGGGCTGGTTATCCTTTGAGTTTGAACATGTTTCTGATTGAAGACATGATGGTGTGTCATGTGCCAGTAGCATTTATGGGGCTAAAACAGTGTCCCTTGAATCTTTTCTTCCTTCAAAATGGGTGAACACATCTTGCCACTAGCAATGACTCCATTTACAAGGTCTGACTTCGTTATTAAAACTAACTAAATTTTATGTCTGTTTATAAAATCACTTCAAATAAAATCATATTTAGGACTTTGTCTGTATTAATTCTTGGGTTTTCTTTAGTGTAGAGCAGTGATTCTCAACCAGGGACAGTTTTGTCCCTAGGGCATGTATGGCACTGTCTGAAGTCATTTTTTGATTGTTGAAGCTGGGGTTGGGGATTCCACTGGCATCCGGTGGGTAGAAGCTGGGCATGGTGCCCATCATCCTACAACGTGCAGGACAGCCACGACATCATCCTTTCTTGTCCAAGATATTAACAGTGCTGAGATTCAGAAATCCTGGTGTAGAGTAAGTGAGCTGATTCAAAAGAAAGTGCTGCTTGTTTGAATAAATATTAACTGTGTTATTAGGCCATATGCTAAGCTTTATTTCAGAATTTCTAGAAGTCCTGATAGTCTCTCTGTCTATTTCTTATCTATTTATGTGATTGATGCAAGATTGTTAGAATGTCATGGTTTGTAGGGTTTTTTTGGTTATTGTTTTTTTTTTTTTTTTTGGAGACAGAATCTCACTCTGTCACCCAGGCTAAAGGGCAATGGCGATCTCGGCTTACTGCAGCTTTGACCTCCTGGGCTCAAGTGATCCTCCCACTTCAAGTTCCTGAGTAGCTGGGACTACAGGCACATGACACCATGCCTGGCTAATTTTTGTATTTTTGTAGAAATTGGGTTTCCCTGTGTTTCCCAGGCTGGTCTTGAACTCCTGGGCTCAAGCGATCCACTTACCTTGGCCTCTGAAAGTACTGGGACAAAGGCATGAGATGCTGCACACCCAGCCAGTTTGTTGTCTTTATTGTCTTGGATTTAAATCTATTTGTCTTCATTGTGTGAGGCTGAGATATGACTGAGTAGTACAGCTTTGCAGGGGATTAGATAAAGACATCCCAAATGGTTTTACTGAGAATTGAAAGTGAAGTGTAAGGTTAGCTGGGCATGGTGATGTTTGCCTGTAGTCCCAGTTACTAGGGAGGCTGAGGCAGGAGGATTACTTGAGCTCAGGAGTTCGAGGCTGCAGTGAGCTATGATCTCACTACTGCATGCCAGCCTTGGGGACAGAGTGAGATCCTGACTCAAAAAATGAATGAATGTGAAGTGTAAGGAATCATTTAATCTCATGAGTTTTCAAGTACTGTACTTAAAAGTGATATCATGGTTACTGATTTTCTAAAAACAAAATATATAACCTATGTTTATAGATGTGATGACCAGAAAACATGATCTGTAAAGAGGAGTCATGGTTATTCTCCACTTAAAGTAATTTTATTTTAACTTGTAATTAATTTTGATTAAATGCTTCACTTAAATGTTTTTAAAAATAAAACCTTCTTGGCCGGGCGCAGTGGCTCACGCCTGTAATCCCAGCACTTTGGGATGCTGAGGCGGGTGGATCATGAGGTCAGGAGATTGAGACCATCCTGGCTCAATCTCCTGACCTTTAGTTTTCACTGAAACAGGGTTTTAGTGAAACCCCGTCTCTACTAAAAATACAAAAAAAATTAGCTGGGCGTGGTGGTGGGCGCCTGTAGTCCCAGCTACACGGGAGGCTGAGGCAGGAGAATGGCATGAACCCAGGAGGCGGAGCTTGCAGTGAGCCGAGATCTCGCCACTGCACTTCAGCCTGGGCGACAGAGCAAGACTCTGTCTCAAAAAAATTAAAAAAATAAATAAAATAAAAATAAATAAAACCTTCTTGCACTTTTAAGTTAAAGGGATTGTATAGGAAAACAAATTTACTTTTTAAATTTTTTGAAAGAGTGACATTCTCATAATAAAATACAGCAAGGAGAATTTTTTTTAATGCCTGTATTCTGTTGAGAGATGAAAAGGTCCAAATATAGCTTTTGTCCACATGTGTAAAAAAAAATTCTAGCTTTTAGCTTTCCCAGAAACAGCAGAGTTTCAACATAAAAGAAACATATTTTGTGGAATTTTGGAACAAGTTGATTCTTGTCATGGGCAGAGGCAAAACAGACCCAGAAATTGCTTGCAGTTGATGCTTTAGGGGTAAAACACTTCCAGACTTTGGGACCACTGCCAGCCTTAGGATGCTCACATGCAGCGGGTCCTCTTTGGGGAACATGGCAACTCCTTGGAGTGCCTGCTCTTATCAGTCATATTAGAGTTTATGAAGGTTCCCATCTTCACTTTTTAAAAAGTTTAGCTATTTCATAGCTACCATAACATAAATAATATTTATTTTGTACTTTACCTTTCTGGAATCACATTTTCTAGTGAAGGTTCATTTGTTTTGAATCACCTAACCATATTTAGATAAAGCAATCTCTTTTCAAAAATTGCTACATAAAAGTCAAATTGTTGATAAGTATTCATAAACATTTTCTACAATTTATTTAACCTTGTTTTAATTTTTCCTTAAAGTAGGTAAGGACAGAATTTGGTTTTAATTCTCACCCTGTTCCCAATGCATGCATTTCCCTTTTTTTTTTTTTTCTCTGAGACGGAGTCTGGCTCTGTCGCCAGGCTGGAGTGCAGTGGCATGATCTCGGCTCACTGCAGTCTCTGCCTCCCTGGTTCAAGCGATTCTCCTGCCTCAGCCTTCCGAGTAGCTGAGATTACAGGCACGTGCAACTACACCCAGCTAATTTTTTTGTGTGTTTTTTGTAGAGACAGGGTTTCACCATGTTGGCCAGGATAGCCTCGATCTCCTGACATCGTGTTCCGCCCGCCTCGGCCTCCCAAAGTGCTGGGATTGCAGGCGTGAGCCACCATGCCTGGCTGCATTTCCTTTTGTAGATGATAGAAATCTAGACAACTGAGTTTTGTCTTACTAAATACATTCGCACTTGCAAAGTGTGGGTAGCCCTGGTCTGCCTCAAGCAATGGAAAATTTATCCCAACCAAGAATCAACAGACTAAGAGCAACTAGTAGGATATTTCTGTTCAGCAGGAAATGCAAGTATAGAAAGGGAGGGAAAATGTTATTTTGTTCTTTGATTCCTGATCTAAGGTGACTTACCTTAAATTAAAACAAAAGGTGGAGGGAGGTAGGGCTTAAATCTTCACTTTTGATGAACCCCTTTTTAAAGAGTAATCTGAAAAGTGTGAAGAAAGAAGGAAATGTTTAGATATCCCTCTTCTTTTTAAGCTTGCATTTTGATATCCGTTGTAAAGCAATTTCCTTTGACCTTAAATATTTTCTCCCTTTTAATGGGAAACTGGAGGAAAACACTAAAATCCTGTCAGTTGCAAATTAGAAGAGATATTTAGGAGAAACAATTTTAGCTTCCAACAAATTATGCAATGTAAAGTGTAGGTGGGATAAAAATGACATCACTGCAAACTCTCTTGTTTCCTCAATTATTCATTTGATGTCTAAGGGGAGTAATGCATGCAGCATAAAGATAGTGTTAAAATTAGTTATTAAGCTGAAATTTTACGCACTACCAAATTTTGTTATAAAATGTATTTTTCTTGGATTATAATAATGGTTATCACAATATTAATTTTGTTACATATGTATTTGACAATGTGTAGAGTAATAGCTAACAGCTTAATTAGGTAATAGATAACAACTAATAGCTTACTATGCCAGGCATTATGTTAGTGCTTTTTTTTTTAATATGTGCATTTTTGAATTTCAGTAGCTTTTAGGACACAGTGGTTTTTGGTTACATGGATGAATTGTATGGTGGTGAAGTCTGAGATTTTATTGCGCCCGTCACCTGAGTAGTGTACATTGTACCCAATATGTAGTTTTTTAATCCCCTACCCCCTTCCACCCTCCCCACTTCTGAGTCTCTAAAGTCCTTTTTACCATCCTGTATGCCTTTGTGTTCCCATAGCTTAGTTCCCACTTAAAAGTGAGAAAATACACTATTTGGTTTTCTATTCCTGAGTTACTACAGGTAGAAGAATGGCCTCTAGGTCCATCCAGGTTGCTGCAGAAGATATTATTTCAGTCTTTTTTATGGCTGAGTAGTATTCCATGGTGTATATATACCACATTTTCTTTATCCACTCATTGGTTAATGGACACTTAGATTGGTTCCATGTCTTTGCAATTGTGAATTGTGCTATGATAAACATACACATGCAGTGTCTTTTTGATATAATGGCTTCTTTTCCTTTGTGTAGATACCCAGTAGTGAGGTTGTTGGATCAAATGGTAGATCTACTTTTAGTTCTTTAAGAAGGCTTTGTACTGTTTTCCATAGAGGTTGTACTAAGATACATTCCCACAAGCATTGTATAAGTATTCCCCTTCACTACATCCACATCAGCATCTATTTTTTTTTGACTTTTTAATAATGGCCATTCTGGTAGGAGTAAGGTGGTAGGTATGTCATTGTGGTTTTAATTTGCATTTCCCAGATGATTAATGATGTGGAGCATTTTTTAATATTTTTGTTGGCCATTTGTATATCTCTTTTAAAAATATCTATTTATGTCATTTGCCCACTTATTGATGGGATTATTTGTTTTTCTCAATGATTTGAGTTCCTTGTAGATTCTGGGTATTGGTCCTTTGTTGGATGCATAGTTTGCAAATATTTTCTCCTGTTGTGTAGGTTGTCTGTTTACTCTGATAATTGCTTTTGCTGTGCAGAAGCTTCTTAGTTTAATTAGGTCTCATTTTATTTATTTTGTTTTGTTTGCATTTGCTTTTGGGGTCTTAGTCACAATTTCTTTACCTAGGCCAATGTCCAGAAGAGCTTTTCCCTAGGTTTCCTTCTAGAATTTTTATGGCTTCAAGTCTTAGATTTAAGTCTTTGATCCATCTTGAGTTGATTTTTGTATATGGTAAGGGGTAGGGAATCCAGTTTCATTCTTCTACATGTGATTATCCAGTCTTCCCAGCACCACTTACTGAAAAGGGTTTCCTTTCCCCAGTGTATGCTTTGTCAAAGATCTGTTGGTTCTAAGTATTTTAATTTATCTCTAGACTCCCTATTCTGTTGTGTTGATCTATGTTTGATTATACCAGTACCATCCTGATTTGCTAACTGTAGCCTTATAGTATAATTTGAAGTCAGGTAATGTGATGCCTCCAGATTTGTTCTTTTTGCTTAGGATTGCTTTGGCTATCTTGGCTCTTTTTTGGTTCCGTATGAATTTTAGGATTCTTTTTTCTAATTCTGTGAAAAAATGATATTGGTATTTTCATAAAAATAGCGTTGAATTTGTAGATTGCTTTGGGCATATGATCATTATGATAATATTCTTCCAATCCATGAGCATGGTATGTTTTTCCATCTGTTGTGTTACCTTTGATTTCTTTCAGCAGTGTATTGTAGTTCTCCTTCTAGAGATCGCTCATCTCCTTTGTTAAGCATATTCCTAGGTATTTTATTTTATTTTTTGCAGCTATTGTATAAAGGATTGGAGTCTTGATTTGATTCTCAGCTTGGTCATTGTTGATGTATAACAGTGCCACTGATTTGTGTGCTTTGTAACCTGAGACTTAATTTATTTACCAAATTTAGGAGCAGAGAAATCTTTACAGTTTTCTAGGTATATGATAATATCATCAGCAAACTTAGATAGTTTGACTTCCTGTTTTCCAGTTTGGATGCCCTTGGCTAGGACTTCCAGTAACTGTATTGAATAGAAGTGGTAAAAGTAGGCATTGTTGTCCTGTTCCAGTTCTTAGGAGGAATCCTTTCAAGTTTTCTCCATTCAGTATAATGTTGGCTGTGGGTTTGTCTGATAATGGCTTTTATTATTTTGAGGTATGTTCCTTCTATGCCTAGTTTGTTGGAGGTTTTCTTTATTTTTTTTATCATAAAAGGATGCTGGCTTTTATTGAATGCTTTTTCTGCATCGATTGAGATGCTCATATTTTTTTTTAATTCTGTTTATGTGATGTATCTCATTTATTGACTTGTATTTATTAAATTATCCCTGCATGCCTGGGGATGAAACCCACTTGACCATGGTGAATTATCTTTTTCTTTCCCCGCCCCCCGCCCCGGACAGAGTCTTTTTCTGTTGCCCAGGCTGGAGTGCAGTGGTGTGATCTTGGCTCACTGCAACCACTGCCTCCTGGGTTCAAGAGATTCTCGTGCCTCAGCCTCCCAAGTAGCTGGAATTACAGGTGCATGCCACCATACCTGGCTAGTTTTTGTATTTTTAGTAGAGACAGAGTTTTGTCATGTTGGCCAGACTGGTCTCTAATTCCTGACCTCAGGTGATCCGCTCGCTTCGGCCTCCCAAAGTGCTGGGAATTACAGCTGTGAGCCACTGTGCCCAGCCTGAATTATCTTTTTGATGTGTTGTTGGATTCAGTTAGTATTTTGTTGAGGATTTTTGCATCTGTGTTCGTCAGGGATATTGGTCTGTAGTTTTCCTTTTTGTTATGTCCTTTTCTAGTTTGGGTATCAGGCTAGTACTGGGTTAATGGAATGAGTTAGGGTGGATTCCCTCTTTCTCAGTGTTTTAGAATAGTTTCAATAGGATTTGTACCAATTCCTCTTTGAATGTTTGATAGAATTTGGCTGTGAATCTATCTGGCCCTAGGTTTTTTTGTTGTTGTTGGCAGTTTTTGTATTATTTTGATTCAGTCTCACTACTAGTTACTGGTTTGTTCAGGGTTTTCTGTTTCTTTCTGATTCAAGCTAGTAGGGTTGTGTGTTTCCAGGAATTTGTGCATTTCCTCTAGATTTCCAAGTTTGTATGCATAGAGATGTTCATAGTAGTCTTGAATGATCATTTTTATTTTTGTTGTGTCCGTTGTAATGTTTCTATTTTCATTTCAAATTGAGTGTATTTGAATCTTCTCTCTTTTATTGGTTAATCTAGCTAATGGTTAATTTTTGTTTATCTTTGCAAAGAACCAACCTTTTTTTTTTTTCATTGATCTTTTGTATTGTCTTTTTTATATCAGTTTCATTTAGTTTTGCTCTGATCTTTATTTTCTATTTTCTTCTGCTAGCTTTTGGTTTAGTTCTTATTTCTCTAGTTCCTTGAGGTGTGACATTAGGTTGTGAATTTGTGATCTTTCAGACTTTTTGATGTAGGCATTTAGCTCTGTAAACTTTCCACTTAGCACTGCTTTTGCTGTATCCCAGAGATTTTGACAGCTTGTGTCACTATTACTCATTTCAAAGAATTTTTAAATTTCCATTTTGATTTCAGTGTTAACTCAAAAATTATTCAGGAGAAGATTGTTTAATTTCTGTGTATTTGTATAGTTTTGAGGGTTCTTTTTGTAGTTAATTTTAGTTTTATTCCATTGTGGTCTGAGAAGATACTTGAAGTAATTTTGATTTTTTTTTAATTTATTAAGATTTGTTTGGTGGCCTATCATATGGTCTATCTTGGAGAATGTTCCATGTACTTATTAGAAGAATGTATATTCTGTAGTTATTGAATAGAATGTTCTGTAAATATCTGTTAGGTCCATATGTTCTAGAGTGTAGCTTAAATCCAGTGTCTCCTTGTTGACGTTCTGCCTTGATGACCTGTCTAGTGTTGTTAGTGGAGTGTTGCGTTCTCCCACTGTTGTTGTGTTGCTGTCTATCTCTTTTCTTAGGTCTAGTAGTAAGGTACTGTTGTTACTAGATGTAAGGTACTGTTCCAGTCGTCATGTTGATTATCACTTAGATACTTTTCTTCATCGTGGTATTTTTTTATAGGCCCTGTGAGTTTTATGCTGTCAAGAGGTTCTATTATGGGGTGTGTTGACCCTTTGTTTCAAGATTTAGAACTTCTTTTAGCAGGCTGGTCTGGTAGTAACATTTCCTTAGCATTTGCTTCTCTGAAAAAGACTTTATTTTGCCTTCGTTTATGACAGTTTTGCTGGATTCAAAATTCTTGGCTGACAGTTATTCTGTTTAGGGAGGCTAAAAATAAGACCCCACTCCCTTTTGGCTTATAAGGTTTCTGCTGAGAAGTCTTCCATTAGTCTGATAGGTTGTCCTTTATAGGTTACGTGATGCTTTTGTCTCACTGCTCTTAGAATTCATTCCTTTGTGTTGACTTTAGATAGCATGATGACTGTATGCCTTGGTGATGTCCTTTTTGTGATGAATCCCCCAGGAGTTCTTTGAGCTTCTTGTATTTAGATATCTAAATCTCTAGCAAGGCCAGGGAAGTTTTCCTTAATTATTCTTTCAAATAAGTTTTCCAACCTTTTTGCTTTCTCTTCTCCCTCTGGTATACCAATGGTTCTTAAGTTTGGCCATTTTATATAATCCTGTATTTTCTGGAGGCTTTGTTCATTTCTTTTAATTACTTTTTCCTTGTTGGATTCATTTGAAAGCCTTGTTTTTGAATTCTGAAATTATTCTACTTTAGTCTGTTAAAAGTTTCCACTGCATTTTGTAATTCCCTAAATGTGTTTTTCATTTCCAGAAGTTCTGATTGGCTTTCTTTAAAATAGCTATCTCTTTACAAAATTTGTCATTCATATCATAAGTGGTTTTTAAAATTTCTTTTTGTTGGTTTTTGCCTTTCTCTTGTATCTCCTTGTGTAGCTAATAACCTTTTGAATTCTTTATCTAGTATTTCAAATATTTTATCTTATTTTGGATCCATTGCTGAAGAGCTAGTGTGATCTTTTGAAGGTGTTATAGAACCCTGTTTTGTTGCCGGAATTATTTTTCTGGTTCCTTTTCATTGGGTTAGACTAATTTTTCTTGAATTTATTTTTGTTTCAGTTGTTTATTTTTGTGGGGTTTTTTTTTCCCTTGAGAATGTGACTTTAATGTTTATTGTAGCCTGACTTGGCTCTTGGTTCTTTCAGGGATGAAGACACTGTATGAGTTATTTGGTTATAGAGAGTCTTTGTATGATGGCTTTCTCAGATGGTTGTATTAGCAATGTGCTTGGTGTGTGACCAGGTTGATTGCTGTAGGATTGAAATGGCAGAGGTCTCTTGAAGCTTATCTCATTCCCTAGTGGTGTACCGTTTTTAATTAATTTATTTTCCGCAGTATTTTGTTTACTCAGTTGAACAGTTCAGACTTCAGGCCAGTAGGGGAAGTATCCATGGTTAAAAACCGGTCATGGCTAAAGCAGGTGGGTAAATGTAATATCCAGTGGTGAACAGAGGTCCCAGCTTTGATGGAGGTAGCCAGGGGAGCTCTCAGTGAAACTGCTGAAATCTTTTCAAAGGGAAGGGAGGGAGCCAACTCTGCTTCCCTGCCACACCAGCAGGAAAGTGATCCACCTCCCAGTTACATTCCTGACCCAGTGTTCAGCTATTCAGATCAGACAGGCACCTCTTTTCATCTGCAGGCATGTTGCTGTTCTATGTAGAGAGGAACTGTGACTTTATACCTCGTGCAAGCCTGAACCTGGAGGGCACTCCTCCTGTGGGGATGCAGTCACCCTGAAGGGTTCTAGAAGGGCTGTCTACAGGTGTATGTATCCATGCTGAGCTCCCATGGGAGAAGCCCCTGCTGTGTCTTCAGCAGTAGGTGAGGGGGAGAAGAAGCACTCCCTTCTCCAAGATCCTTCACAAGCACCAGGGCTTCCTGGCTGTTGGGGTAGAGGTGCAGACTTTCCCTGCTGAGCCCGGCACTGCGCCTATGCCTCTGCTGAAACTTCCCACAAGCGGAAAGTTCAGGGACTCAAGGCCTGTGTTTGGATTCTTTTGTCCCATGTGATGTGTCCTTCCCCTAGAAGTAGGAGTCCCTGAGGATCAGACCACTAGGAATGCTGCTGCTCCTCTAGGTCTAGCTACCCAGTGGGTACTCCAGGCTGGTGCTAGGGAATGTCTTCAAGGGATCCAGTGATGTGACTGGTCCTCAAGTGTCGCAGCAGCAGGTACCAGCACCAGCGCTGATAGAGGTGGCAGGGGAGTGACATAGACTCTAAGATTCCTTGGTTATAAATAGCCTTAGTGTGTTGGCTTTCTCAAATGCCAGATTGTAGTAGTAATGAACTGGTTATGTGGACAGAGTCAGGGCCTCTTGGTTAGCCAGGGTGATGAAGGCCATGGTGATAGGTGAGGTTACACATACATTTTTCCCTTCCTGGGTGCTGTGTTCTTCTACCTGGAGATGCTGTAATGTATTGGCTATGTTGGTTGACTCCCAGAGTGCAAAAGAGTGCCAGCTGTGGTGGTGGTGGTGGGATTTGTGTTTGCCATATGTTATCCAGGGGAGATACTCTGGTGTCTTAGGCGATGGGCAGTGCCATAAGGCTTCCAAAAGTTTCTGTTCTTTGTGTTAAGCTACCAGGGTGGGTGGAGGGACAATGCCAGGTGGGGGCTGGATAAGGCAGGACTGCACTCTGGTTTTTCATGTGCAGGTGCAAGCAGTGGCCCCAGTGGGGATCAGGGGTCAGTTCTCTGGCTACTGGGGTAATGGTCCAGGGAGGAGTGCAGCTGCATCTGCTGTGTAGAAGAATCTGCCTGGGGAGTGGGGAATAGCAGACGGCAGTAATTCCCACCAGCTCCCACGCACTTGGCAAGGCAGGTCTCTCGTAGGCAGTGTTCCACTAGCAGCAGCTAGCTAGGTTCCAGGCAATCTGTGCTCAGAACTCAAAAATGCCTCAGGCCATAAGCCTTCCTTGAGGAGAAGGAAACCAGGGCTTTCAGGCTATGCCCTTCTTGGTCTGCCCATGAAGCAGGGGTGCCCAGCTCCTGTGCTCATGGCTGCAGCACACTTCCCACTCACCCCTTGGTTCTGGCCAAAGGGGTTCATCCCCCCCTTAAGATTATATCGCAGATCTCAGTTAGGAGCTTCTCTCAACCTGTGATTGCTGTCTGAGTTAGCTGGCCGACTTCTGCAAGGTCCCCTGTGAGGTGGGATCAGAAATGGCTTCCCTCCATCCCCGCTGGAGTCTGGGAATGCATATAAAGCCCGTCCTGATGCCACTGCTTCTCATATATTCCCCACTGCTCACTAAACCAGCTCCAGCACTGGGTAGGTGCTTATAGTTTTCCACCTGGCTCATAGTGTAGGCTGCAGCCCACTGCTTTTTTCAGAGGGTCTGTGGTTTCTTTCAGTTTTCATGTTAAGTTCCTCTGTTGCTTCTTGGAAAAAAGTTCACAGCATGAATCACCACACACTATTTTGTCTTTTCACGTGGTAGAGGCATGCAAACAATCCACCATCTTGGAAAAATTGTATATTCATATTCTCCACTGATCCTTACAACTTTGAGAGTTAGGTACTGTAATTCCCATTTTACAGTGGGGAAATTGAGGCCAAAAAATTCAAGTACCTATTCAGAATTACACAACTGGCGATGGAGCTAGGATTCATCCCCAGGAAGTGTGATTCTGGACCCTACACTCTTCCTGGCTGTCCTGTAAGCCCCTATGATCAGGCTCTGGGAGAGGCTTCAATGGTAATGATGAGGGACAGGTCAAATAAGCTGATCAGGCTCTGGGAGATGCTTCAATGGTAATGACGAGGGACAGGTCAAATAAGCTAATCAGGTGATTTCAAAAAAAAATTGTTTTAGGTTTTAGAGTGATGCAGTTTCACTTGGTGTTTACCAGATAAAAAACCTGTGTAATAAGTTGTGTTGCAAAATTATACTTTGAGTAGGATCTGAAAAATGAAAAAGTAGATTAAAGAGTGATTAGTACTAGACAAAAGGATGACCCTTAGAGTTATTTTATAGATTTAATTTTTAAAATTAGGGAATATGATGCTTCAGAAAATTTAGAAAATACAGAAAAAAATCTTTCAATTTTAATGCTATATTTTTATAATTGACTATTCCTATACATATTTTCATATACAGTATACATGTATACTGTACAAGAAAAATGCTCAAGTACATTTGCATTAGAAAAATGTAAACAATTCAGAAATACGAAAACTGAGAGTCTGTTCACATCTGCCTTTCTTTCCTGATCCCACTCTGCTTCTTAAAGGGGATCAATAATAACAATTTTGTTGGCCAGGCACAGTGGCTCATGCCTGTAATCCTAGCACTTTGGGAGGCTAAGGTGGGCCTCCTGGCCAGGCTGGTCATGAACTCCTGATCACTTGAGGTCAGGATTTAGAGACCAGCCTGGCCAACATGGGAACACCATCTGTACTAAAAATACAAAAATTAGCTGGGCATGGTGGTGGACACCTGTAATTCTCAGCTACTTGGGAGGCTGAGGCAGGAGAATCACTTGAACCCAAGAAGCGGAGGTTGCAGTGAGCTGAGATCACGCCACTGCACTCCAGCCTCGACAACAGTTGAGTGAGGCTCTGTCTCAAAATAACAATAATAATATAATAATAATAATAATAATAACAATTGTGTTAATGCAGTTACATACATTTGTGCACATACTTTTTAAATAGCATGGTTTTTCCATGTAATCATGTATCCTGGAGTTCTTTCTTACCGTACTCTTCCATGTTGTTGTATCATCTTCATATCGCATACCTGAATGACTGAATAATGTTAAATTGGCTAGATATACCATGATTTATTCAGTCTATCTGTGGATATTAGGGGTGTTTTTAGTTTTTCCTTCTTTTATCCTCTGAGCGACTTATTGTGCATAGATTTCAACATGCTTTAGATCATTGTCTTTCCTTAGGATAGATTCCCAGAGGTAGGTTACTTGAAGAGACTCTTAAGCATTTTGTGATTTGAGAGATACTATCAAAGCTGTAGACAAAAAGTTGTTCTAGTTGGTAAAGTCATGGATATATGCCCCAGTATTTCTATACCTGGGAAAGGCTTACAAATGGATTAGATATGAACCAGGTACAGTGCACGCACTTCATTTGTTTTATGGAAGAATACATAGTCTGTGAAATTCCTATTGTGTAAATTGAGGCCTGCATTCCTCTTACCACCTCCACCTCTGCTACTTTCTGCTCTAGAAACTACTTTAATGAAAAGAGAAAAAGCTAGTTGACTAGCATGTTGATTTTATGCCCAATGCAAATACAGACCAACTGACTCATCCTGAAAATATTTAGCAGGGAGAAAAAAAAAAAGAAGAAAATTTTTTTTAGTGAGTAGCCCACATTATGATACTTTGTCACTTTAATCTTGAACTAAAAGACCTACCATTTCATTAAATGTTTGCTTTATAACATTTGCCTCTATGCCAAAAGCCCTAAAAGTGAATTCAAGTGACTTTTTGCTTTGTGACATTTGACTCAGAATTGAGTTATAGATGCTTTGAAAAGTTAATTAATGTTTTTGGTCATGGCTAACTTCTGAATTTGTTTTATTGTTTTTGTATCTTATTATGAATGCCTGCTGATAGCAATTTGTACCAGTATGTGTCATATATAATATTACTTTACAAATTTTATTACATTTAATGAAAGGGTCATTTATTCATCATGCCTTTTGAAAACAAGGACAGCTGCAAAGTCAGTATAGTATTTTAGGATGTATAACCGATACAGGAAAATATTTAGTCCAGCTTTCTAATTTTGTAAATGAGAAGTTTTTGGGGACTCACAATAGCTTTTGGTAGCCTATTATAAACTGTGGTTCTTGTCTTCCATGTAAAACCCCAACTCAAAATTTTATATGTGACCAGCTAGTTTGCGGGTCACTGTGCAGTTTAAGAAGCTCTCCTATGGCTTGTTTTACTCTGTTCTGTTTAGTTGGAGGAAGTGCTTACTTTCAACCTTATTGTCATTGATTTCTCTAGAGAGAAAAGGCTAGGCTTAACTATGTGTGTCTGTATTCTTAGTGGTCAGCCTTAAGAAGAGGAATTAATTGAATCTAAGTTAAAAATTGCTTGTTGGAGAAAAATAGTGCTACAGTCCATACAAGCATACTTCAAAGATATGGCAGGTTTGGTTCCACACTGCTGCAATAAAGTTAATGACACAATAAAGTGAATATAAAATAAAATGAATATTGTAATAAAGTACATCACACAAAATGTTTGGCGTCCTAGCACAGATAAGTTATGTTTGAGCTATACTGTAGCCTGTTAAGTGTGCAGTAGCATTATGTCAAACAATGTACCTACGTTAATTTAAAAAGGTTTACTGCAGGCTGGGCATGGTGGCTCACACCTGTAATCCCAGCATTTTGGGAGGTCAAGGCAGGCAGATCACCTGAGGTTAGGAGTTCGAGACCAGCCTGGCCAACATGGTGAAACCCCATCTCTACTAAAAATACAAAAAAATTAGCCAGGCGTGGTGGCAGGCACCTGTAATCCCAGCTACTTGGGAGGCTGAGGCACAAGAATTACTTATACCTGGGGGGCAGAGGTTGCAGTGAACCGAGACTGCGCTATTGCACTCCAGCCTGGGCAACAAGAGTGAAACTTTGTCTAAAAAAAAAATACTGACAATCATCTGAGCCTTCAAGTCATAATCTTTTTGCTGGTATAGGGTCTTGCCTTGATGTTGGTGGCTGCTGATTGATCAGGGTGGTGGTTGCTGAAGGTGGGGGTGGCTATGGCAGTTTCTTAAAATAACACAAGAATGTGTGATATGCTATTTGATAGCATTTTAGCCACAGTAGAACTTCTTTCAAAATTTGTCAATCCTTCCAAGTCCTGCTGCTGCTTTATCAACTAAGTTTATGGAATATTCTAAATCCTTTGTTGCCATTTCAACAATGTTCATGGCATCTATTCCAGGAGTAGATTCCACCTCAAGGCCACTTTCTTTGCTCATCCATTAGAAGCAACTCCTATTCTATTGAAGTTTTATCAAGAGACTACAGCAATTCAGTCATATATTTAGGCTCCACTTCTAATTCTAGTTCTCTTGCTATTTCCTCCACATCTGCAATGACTTCTTTTGCTGAAGTGTTAAACCCCCTCAGTCATTCATCAGGGTTGGTATCAACTTCTTCCAGACTCCTGTTAATGTTGATATGTTGTTGACCTCTTCCCATGAATCATAAATGTTCTTCATGGTATCTAGAATGGTGAATCCTTTCCAGAAGGTTTTCCATTTACTTAGCCTGGATCCATCAGAAGAATCGCTACGGCAAGTATAGCCTTACAAAATGTATTTCTTACATCAGACTTGAAAGTTGAAATGACTCCTTGATCCAGGAGCTGCAGAATGGATGTTGAGCTAGCAGGCATGAAAACAACATGGATCTCTCTGTACCTCTGCATCAGAGCTCTTAGATAACCAGGTGCATTGTCAAAGAGCAGTAATATTTTGAAATGAATTTTTTTTCCAGTAGGTCTCAACAGTGGTACTTAAAATATTCAGTAAACCATGCTGTAAATAGATGCACTGTCATCCAGACTTTGTTGTTCCATTTATAGAGCACAGGTAGAGTAGATTTACTATAATTCTTAAAGGCCTTAGGATTTGGGGAATGGTAAATGAGCATTGGCTTCTTTTACTCTATTTGATAGCATTTTAGCCACAGTAGAACTTCTTTCAAAATTTGTCATTCCTCCCGAGCCCTGCTGCTGCTTTATCAACTAAGTTTATGGAATATTCTAAATCCTTTGTTGTCATTTCAACAATAGAGCATATATGCTATTACTGGGTATATACCCAAAGGATTATAAATCATTCTACTATAAAGACACGTGCACACCTATGTTTATTGCAGCACTATTCACAATAGCAAAGACTTGGAACCAGTCCATATGCCCGTCAATGATAGACTGGATAAAGCAAATGCACATATACACCATGGAATACTATGCAGCCATAAAAAAGTATGAGTTCATGTCCTTTGCAAGGACATGGATGAAGCTGGAAACCATCATTCTCAGCAAACTAACACAGGAAGAGAAAACTAAACACCACATGTTCTCCCTTGTAAGTGGGAGTTGAACGATAAGAACACATGGACACAGGGAGGGGAACATCACACACCAGGGCCTGTCAGTGGGTGGGGGGCTAGGGGAGGGAGAGCATTAGGAGAAACACCTAATGTGGATGACGGGTTGATAGGTGCAGCAAACCACCATAGCACGTGTATACCTATGTAACAAACCTGCACATTCTGCACATGTATCCCAGAGCTTAAAGTATAATTAAAAAATTGGTTGTTTAATGTATACACCTTCATCAGTTGTCTTAGCTGAATCTTCTGGATAACTTGCTGCAGCTTTTTCATCAGTACTCGCTGCTTCACCTCACACTTTTATGTCATAGCAAGGGCTTCTTTCCTTAAACCTCATGAACCAACTTGTGCTAGCTTCCAGCATTTCTTCTGTGCCCGCATCAGGTAAGAGCTTTGTCACCACTCTCAGCCTTCATAGAATTGAACAGAATTAGGACCTTGCTTTGGATTAGGCTTTGGCTCAAGGGAATGTTGTAGCTGGATTGATCTTCTCTTCCAACCAAACATTCTCCACATCAGCAATATGCCTTTTAATTCATGTGATAACTAAAGTAGCAATTTTAATTTCCAAGAGCTTTTCTTTTGCCTTCATAACTCAACTGTTTGGGGGAAGAAGCCTAGCTTTTGGCCTGTCTTGGTTTTTGACATGTTTTCTTTACTAAGCTTGGTCATTTCTAGCTTCTGATTTAAAGTGAGAGATTGACTCTTCCTTTCACTTGAACACTTAGAGGCCATTGTAGTGTTATTAGTTAGCCTAGTTTCAGTATTGTTGTAACATCTCAGGAAATAGGGAGGCCCAAGGAGAGGGAGAGAGATGAGGGAGCAGCTGGTTGGTGGAAAAATCAGAACACAAACATTTATAGGTTAGGTTTGCTGTCTTACATGAGCGCAGTTTCTGGCGCACCAAAATGATTACAGTAGTAACATCAAAAAATATCACAGATGACCCTAATGGCTATAATAATAATAAAGCAGTCTGAAATATTGTGAAAATTATCAAAATATGACAGACGTGAAGCGAGCACAGGCCGTTGGAAAAATGATGCCAGCGAACTTGCCTCATACAGGGTTGCCACGAAACTTCCATTCGTAAAAAGCTCAGTGTCTGTGAAGTGCAGTAAAGTGAAGTGCAGAGATATCCCTGTGTTTGCCTTTTCAGTAACCCTCTGCAGTTTTTCAGATTTAAAAATTAACGTTGGACTGGGTGTGGTGGCTCATGCCTGTAATCCCAGCACTTCGGGAGGCCAGGGCGGGAAGAGTGCTTGAGCCCAGGAGTTCAAGACCAGCTTGGGCAATTAGTGAGACCTCATCTCTACAAAAAATTAAAAAGTAGCCGGGTGTGGTAGCACATGCTTGTAGTCCCAGCTACTCGGGTGGCTGAGGTGGGAGGATCGTTTGAGCCTGGGAAGCAGAAGTTGCAGTCAGCCAAGATCACACCACTGCACTCCAGCCTGTCTCAAAAAAAAAAAAATTAACCTCATACTTTTGGTTTTAAATAAAGAAGAGCGCCACACTTGAAAGAGCAAGACAAACTTTCATGAATATTCTCCCTGTGTATTTTTAGGACATTTAATTGTAGTGTGATGCAGCTGCCAGACTCTCAGCACAGTGTTGGAAAGCTCTGTAGTCATTAGACATTTGCCTCCACAGAAGTTTAATTCTCTGAGCCTGAGGACTGTTAGCGATGAAGCAACGCCCACCCAGAAGGAGCATTTCGCTTTTCTTTATGCATTTCAGGCTCTTAAGACTTTCAAGAAGATTTTATTTAAAATTTTCTTTTTTTGTTTTGTAGTGGTTTATGGCAGGCTTCTCATAATGTGAACATAAAGACATTTGATTATATTTGAAAATATTGTTCTTTTAGTTTGCCCACATTCTAAGTCATTAAAATGCCATTTTAAGAATGAGTTATGGAAGATATTTAAGTATCTGTGCATCAGTGCATACTGAAGCTGACGTTAGTTACATGGTTGCATTTTTGAATCATTAAGTTTATTAAACACCTAGTCTTTTACATTGTATATTTTTGTGGTAAAATATTATGGCTGTCACATGCCATTTTGAAAATGCAAATTAAAAAGTTTTTACAAAAACCAAAAGTTGCATAAATGGAAACTTATAAAAGCCCACTTAAGTAACTTAATCCAAATTTTAACATCTTAGATGCCTCTCAGCTTAATACAGTAGCCCAAATTTTACATGTAGACAGAAGATGAAAGTTTAAAAGTTTTTCTGGAAGTTAAAAGTGATTTTCTCTTGCAGAGCATTCCCACCTAGGCAGTACCAATCAATGTCTTAATTACTTCTTGAGCTTTTAAGACTTGAAAAATGTCAGTATGATTTGTGCCCCCAAGGAGCTGGTTGCATGCATTGGAGTCCAGAAAATACAAATTAAAATTTGATTTAAATATATTTATTTCCCCTGACACACAATTCCATTATGAGACAAGTTTCACACAGGTACAGTGACAAATGCCATTAGAGATGAGAAAGACACCAATGTTTTTACTAGCAGTATTGTTTCAGACTATGCATGTTGTCATGTCGTTCTCAAGATCATCTTGTGGTAGGTATATGGTTGTATTCCCACATAAGGAATGCCACAGAGACATTCAAAGAACTTTTGTCCTTTGGTTTTGATTTGTCATGTTGGATATAATCAGGATGCATTTATCTTATGAATCTCTGGACATTTTTTTATTTGCTCTCAAGGCTCATTTCCAAGATTCAAAAATCAGTTTTACCACTCTATAATTATTCCTATTTTCCAGAATATGTTATGTAGTATAATTATTTATTCAATAGACTTGGCTCTGACTAGCTTCTTAAACTTTTTCCAGAACTTTTATTGTATTCACCCTCAAATGATGAAGAGTGACAACCATCAATGATATTCAAAGAATATGATATAGAAGTAAAACATTTCCAAAGTTTTATATACTATTTTGAGCCAATGTTTGGTAAGTGGGAAAACTGAATTCAAAATTGTCTACCCTATGTTTATAACTATCTAAAAATGACTATCTAAAAATAGTTATGCATGTGTGGCCAGGCGCGGTGGCTCACTCTTGTAGTCCGAGCACTCTGGGAGGCTGAAGCAGGTGGATCACTTGAAGTCAGGAGTTCAAGACCAGCCTGGCCAACGTGGTGAAACCCCATCTCTACTAAAAATACAAAAAATTAGCTGGGCGTGGTGGCATGCACCTGTAATCCCAGCTACGTGGGAGGCTGAGGCAGAAGACTCACTTGAACCCGGGAGGCGGAGGTTGCAGTGAGCTGAGATCGAGCCACTACACTCCAGCCTGGGCAACAGAGTGAAATTTTGTCTCAAAAAAAAACCACAAAAAACCCACAATAAAAATAGTTATGCATGTAGACAATACTATAAAATAATATAAAAAGAAAATAATTTGTCTTAGTGATAGGATTGTGAATGACTTTTCTTTCTGAAAATTTCCTTTATTGTTACAGTTATGCAATAAATTAAAGTCAGTATTTTAGGCAGTCTCAACATGTTTGGATACTATGAGAGTGGACTCACAAAGGAGTCAACTGATCTTCAGACCTTTGAATTTTGCCAGTTGCCCCTCTAAGAAGCCATTCTTACAGTGTTTGTGAGCAGCGGGCTAAGATACGACAGAAAATGTTTTTTGGCTAATGAATAATTAATTCATTCAGCTATTATTTTGTGCCTATTCTATGGTAGGCACTCTACGAGACACATGAGGAACAAAGATATGTAAGACAAGGTCTCTGTATTTTGAGGAACTCTTATTGTAGTAGAAAAGACAAATGCAAGAACTAATAATAATTTTAAGTCAGGGTGAGTCTATTAATAGCCAGCAGTGATGCAAGAGACTGTGGTCAAAGAAGGGAAGCTAACTCTTTGTAGAGGCATCAAAAATGCTTCACAGAGGAGGTGACAGATTTGTTAAGGATATTCCAGGCCGTGGAGTAATAGGTTTTAATTTGGTGCTTTAATTTGGAAGAATATCTCAGGAGATGGTAATATGTATTTTAGGTCTTTTTTTAGGGCTTTACAATTTTTAAAAAATATATTTTGGCTTTTATTTTGAAATAACTTTAGACTTACAAAAATTGCACAAATTGTACACAGAGATTATATATGCCCTCCATCCAGCCTCCCGTAATGCTGATATCTTCTGTAAACATAGTGTAGTTATTTAAAACAGGAAATCAACAGAGTTGGTGCTATTAACTGATCTACAGACCTTATTTGAATTTTGCCAGTTGTCTCATAAATGTCTTTGTTTTAGTACAGCATCCAATCCAGGATCCCACATGGATTTACTTGTCATATCTCCTTAATAGCCTCTAATTTGTAACAGTTCCTTTGTCTGTCTTTGTCTCTCATGATCTTTTTGAAGAGTTCTGGCTAGTTGCTTTGTACCGTTTGCTTCAATTTTGGGTTCTCTGGTATTCCCCTGTGAATACATTGTGGTTATGCATTTTTGGCAACAATACTAAGGAAGTTATATTGTGCCTTTTCAGTGAATCATAACAGAAGGTATATGATCTCAATATATCTCATTACTGGTGAAGTTAGTGTTGGTCACTTGGTTAAGCAAGTGCCTTCTAGGTTTCTCCACCTGTACATTTATAATTTTTTTATAGAAATGAATATCTTGCAGGGAAATACTTTGAGAGTGTGCAATACCTTGTTTCTCATCATACTTTCACCCGTTAATGTTGGTATCCACTCATGGTTCTTGCCCACACCAGTTATTACTGTGGTGTTTGCCAAATAGTAGTTTTATATTTCCACATTTCCTTCTACATTTATTAACTTGATAAGGAAGAGCTATCCCTTCTCCCCTATTTACTTACTTATTCAATTATTTATGTCAGTATGGATGAAAGAATATTTTATTGTATGGGTTATAATTCCTTACTATCATTTTACTGGCTCAGATGTGGTCAATGGGAGCTTCTTCAAGTTGGAGTCTGTGTCCTTTGACATATTTAAGGATATATGGGGAGTAAGGATTATAGGGAACCTTGTTAGGTTCATGATTAGACCGTATGACCAACAAAAATACAGTAGCAATTCTGTATCTCAGTGACTGCTCAAGGTTTACTCTTCTCAGGTTTCTTCTAATGCTGCACCTTCTCTCCGTGTGTGTCTACAGACTCCTGATTTTGATTCTTTGCACACATCTCCAGGTTTCCATGCCACTCTTTGTCTCTTTCAGCGTGTTTGGCATTAAGCCCCTAGATACTAGGATATGTCTGGTGGAGTTGGTTGGTTATTGCCCAGTATAAGAGCATCATTATAGAACATTAGCCTCCACATTCTTGCCTATAGCTGGCTGCTTTTAGGTAAACACCCATACTTTATTTTAAACAGTTGCTGTGGTTTGAGTCATATGGCACTGCAACCTAAGTGCAATGAACTTGGCTCAGAAGGAGCTGTGGGTATTGCAGGCATCTAGAAATTCGATGACTGCGTGATTCCATGATTCTCAACAGGAGGCAGTTTTGCCCATGAGGAGACATTTGGAAATTTCTGGAGACATTGTTGGATGTTATGACTGGCGTAGGGTGGGGTATGCTACTGGCATTAATGGGTAGAGGCCAGGGATGCTGCCACATATTCTACAGTGCATAGGAAAGGCCTCCAAAACAAAGAATTGCCAGCGTTACTGGGCCCAAAACATCAGTAGTGCCAAGGTTGGGAAACCATGACTTAATTTGATGGATATAAAGAGGAAAGATATGGGAGTATTAAGGGAAAAGCAAGTGGTTTTGAAATGGCCAGGGTAAGGAGTGTAGATATGTGTGTGTAATAGAATGTGGGTGTTTGAAATCAAATAGGTAGGCAAGGACAAGATTATGTAGCGCATACAATGCATTTCCAAGAGATTTGGACCTCATCCATTGGGCTATGGGTTACCCTTGAGAAATTGTAAGAGGATTAATTTGCATTTTAGAAAGTTTACTCTGGAGATTATGAAATGAGTTTACGAAGATGATCAAATCCTGAAAGATTGAATGTCCCCAAATGTGGGAAGCTGTTTTAGACAATATTATTTCAAACTTTTAACATATTTTACAGTTTCCTAAATGCTTATGGGAAGTAGCTCCTAAACTTTATTCCAGATAGGAAGCAGACATTCCTAAAGAAATGCCACTGGTTTCATAGGGTAAAGATTTGGTTTTGGCAGGAAATGAAAAAGATAAAGTGGGTCAGGATAGTGGAGTGTCTTAAGTCCATGGACAGAGAGTATTATTTGGTTGGAGATTTTACAAAATCTTCATAAGGATTGGAAAGGAGTGGGATTTTATTTCTAATTTTAGGGTTTAAAAAGAGCATTAACTTTCCCTGTGCTTTTTGTTATCAAACTATTTGAGAAGTTTGTGGCAGAACAGATATCAGGACTATTACTCAGAAGTAATGCTAGCATTGTGGGTAAACACTACCTTTTAATATGTGCTACTGAGCTTGTGAACATTTTTCACTAGCATATACCTGACATAACTATTCATTATCTGTGTCTGTGAAGTGCAATTATATTTGGGAAAACCTGCTATTGCAGTATGAAAAGTACTGCAGTATTTTACCCTCAACAAGATATTTTATTTATGAATGACTTAAAACAGACACTGTGACAACAAAAAATGAATACAAACATGCTTTTTGGTAACAAAAGAAAATAATACTTTTCCTTAAAATTGTTTGAGTGCCACAGAAAATAAATGGTCCAGTATTCATAAGACTGGTCATGACAGTCTTATGACAGTCATGTCATAAGTGACATACAGTTTATTGACATAAGTGAAAATGCTTCTACGCTTTGGCTAATCATATGTGTTATCAAAATGATTATTTAAAATAATTTATTAAAATAATTTTAATGGCCAGGCGCCGTGGCTTATGCCTGTAATCCCAGCACTTTGGGAGGCTGAGGTGGGTAGATCATGAGGTCAAGAGATCGAGACCCATCCTGGCCACCATGGTAAAACTCTGTCTCTACTAAAAATACAAAAATTAGCTGGGTGTGGTGGCACGTGCCTGTAGTCCCAGCTACTTGGGAGGCTGAGGCAGGAAAATCGCTTGAACCCAGGAGACGGAGGTTGCAGTGAGCCAAGATTACGCCACTGCACTTCAGGCTGGCGACAGAGCAAGACTCCGTCTCAAAAATAATAATAATTTTAATAATTACTATAATTTAATTTAAAATATTATATTAAAATGATCTATGGAACAACTAGCCATACTTTATTTTTTAAAATCAGAAGTCTGTCTTCCCAAAATAAAAAATTTCTTAACTATGGAAAAGGAAATTTTTTTGAAGAGGTGCCTAATCTCCATTAATGATTTGGCTTTTCATGCAGTTGTATTTGCAGTTTGTGTACTAATATATTTAGGCGAATTTGGTGACATTATATTGTATAATGGTTCCTGGTTAATGGCTTATTTGAGCTATATCTAGAGCAATTTAGCACTGATACTGTATAGGAAAATGAGAGAACGGGATTAAATTCGTGGATGTTTTGCACGGAAGTTTTTAATAGGATAATTTATTTGAGCAAACATCCAGTCTATTTAATGAATCTGGAATGCTGTGGAGCTCAGAAGTCCTTAATATGTATTCACTGAGAGCCCCCCTTACCTGCCTAGCTCATTCAGATGAAGTGAGGTCCCTGTTCTTCAGGCATCAAACTCTATTTGATGAGGAAATCTAAAACACATAATGAGAGAAGTGACAAAAGGCTCGTGGATACTACTAGCCAGCCAGAAGACAGAAGTGTGAGCCAGAAGAGTTGGGAAGTGTTCGTGAAGAAATAGAATGCAAACAGGGCTAGAACTGGGGAGACTGAAGTAGAGAGACTGTTCCCATCCATCACCCAGCCACACCCGTACCCACACATGTACACGAACATGCATGCACGTACAGCAGTAGCAGCAGCAGAAAAGCAAGTACAAAGATGGTTGACAGTACTAAGGGAAATGAGAATAATGTGAGGACATAGTAGGAAATAAGCTGGGAGAAATTTGGAGATGGAGAGTTAAGTTTAAACAGGGGGCTATGTGAAGACTATATCAGCTTTTGACAAAACTGATATAATGAAAACTGCTTTGGGGTCATTCTGCCAGCTGAACTGAGGCTAAAAGAGAAGGAAGACCACCGGCATAACCAGTCAGGAGACATGCTCACTCTAGATGTGATCTAGACTAGCATGGCAGAGGATACGGAGCAGAGAATCCAGACTGAAAGCAAGATCTCTAACCTTGGACCACCGAAACTGGAGATCACTGAGAGCAATATGGAATTTTTAAAAAGCTTCTTCATTGCTGTTTATACAGGTGCCAAGCCTGTGTAGCTGGCTACAGGTCCTAGCACAGAAACTCTTAATAAGTCCTGGTTTCCTAAGGGGCCACTAAATGTTGAACAAATGGAAATATCAAGGACCAAAAGTATGCTGCTACAATGATTTGATCATTTTGTTTTATTTAGAGACAGCATCTTGCTTGGTTGCCCAGGCTGGAGTGCAGTGGTGTGATCATAGCTCACTGCAGCGTCAAACTCCTGGACTCAAGCCATCCTCCTGCCTCAGCCTCCCAAGTAGCTCGGATTACAGGCATGCATCACTGTGCCTGGCTTCATTTGATCATTTTATTAAGAGCACATGGCAGCTCACCATTGTGTTAAGGCAGAAAAAAAGCCTAGTACATTTTCTTCTAGGAGCAAATTAAACAAATGTGATATTAAAAATACATACTTCACCTTAACATTGGCCTAATAGAAATGTTTTTGTTGAATTACATGTCACAAATTGCTTGTGTGGGAGGTTTTTAAAAAAGTAGATATTCTTTGTATGAAGAAAAACTATTGTTTTTACCTAAGTACAATGTAAGCCTACATTATATAGCAAATCTTACTTTGCTGTTAGGCTGATATGACCCAAGAAAATGTGACGAAGAACTACATTGTGACTGGAGCAAATTTTCTGGAGTATGTGGAACCCATGAAAATATCTTGTAAGAAAATAATTGGGGTCCCCTCTTAATGTTGAATTGGCTGTCTTATTTGAGCCTGGGACAATCCTGGGTGTTACTGGAGAGACTGGGTCCCAGAGTCACTGTTCCTTGTCAAAAGCTCTTTTTATTAGAGGTTGAAATGCTGTAGGAGTCCTAGGGAGACATTCCCAGACACTGGTCACTTCCTTGTTGCATCTTGGCAGGTCCCTGTGTTCCTTCCCTGGGTAATGTGTGCTGCCCTTCCCTGACTCATCCTCAGCAGAAGTGAGCCTCCCTTTCTTGAGACTAACCCCTTTTGTAATACTGTAGGGGTCCTGTGGGCAGAATTGGCTATGTAATTGTGGGACACAGTGTAAAATGGAAATGCAGACCCCTTGTTCAGGAATTACTAAGACATTCAAGACAGCAACAGTATGTTAAACCAAGCCTCGGGCTGTATATGACTGTACAATTTGCACATCCATAAAGGCAGCCCTGTGTGTGAGGATAAGCTGTGGTATCCTTGTGCTCTCTTGAGGTCTTGTGAGGCATAGAAGGGCTGCCTTGCCTTTTGCTTAGATGGAAGAAAGGGCATGCAAGTTGGCTGCTGCTATCCCCTCCTCTTCACATACCCCTGCCAACCATCTAGTGTTAAGAAGAGGGGCAGCTCCTTCCATTCCCTTCTGCACACAGGTGGTTTTGTTAATGGGAACGTCATTCTCAGAGGAGTAGTTGACTTCTGCTAGCATTCAAGTGCTGGATTGTATGCCACAAAATACAAGAGGAAATTTAAAATTCAGTGGGTAATGTGGACTGTGAATCAAAGTATGCTGGTGGGACTGAACCCTATGCAGAATGCAGTGTAGAGAGGTTTCATTTTAGAGAGCAAGCAAAAGATTAGAGAGCTTTCAATGCCAGGGATGGTACAGTTGATTCTCACTATTCATGGTAGTTGTGTTCTGTGTGTAAACACTGAATTAACAAATACTAAGCTATTGCTCCTAGAGGAAATACAGGGTTCAGTTCCTAAGAGCCTTTTGTTCACAACTTTTTTTTTAAAGACGGGGTTTTGCTCTGTCAACCAGGCTTGGGTGCAGTGTCACCATCATGGGTCATGGCAGCCTTCAACTCCTGGGCTCAAGCAGTCCTCCTGCCTCAGTCTCCCAAGTAGCTGGGAAGCTGGGACTATAGGCACATGCTACTTCACCCAGCTAATTTTTAAATTTCTTATAGAGACCGTACCTGGCTAGTTATTTTACTTTTTGTAGAGACGGGGTCTCACTTTGTTGCCCAAGCCAGTCTCAAACTCCTGTGCTCAAACTGTCCTCCCACCACAGCCTGTCAAAGTGCTGAGATTACAGGGATAAGCCACCATGCCCAGCTAACATTTTGATCAACCAGTCAATATACAAGCTTGTTTTATGTGTGCTTCTGTTTAAAGCCACCATAGTTAATGTATACTGATGATTGATTAACATTGAATTCATGGCCAACATCATTATTACTCACGACTTAAAAAAGCTTCACTAACATGTATTTTCTCCATAAGGTCCATCAGAAACTTCTTTCACTTAGGAACACCAGATAGCACTTCAGCATTATGCCCGGGGACCATTTTAAACAGCTAAATCACCAACAAAAAGGTCAAAGAAATGTGCCATGACCATGAAAAGACCGTGAAAAGGACACGTGTTTACCATATGAGAAATGAAACAAGGTAGAACATCACCTTAACCTCACCTTGATGTGCACAGCGCAACTCAGATTTTTTACCTCTCTGTGCATGTATGAGAATGACCACGAAAGTACCACAAATATTGATTTTGAGATTAAAGATAAATTTTAGCAAGTAGGGTGAACTTGTACTTACAGAATCTGTGAATAATGAGCATTGAACATACTTTGAGTTTCAACTAATAGGTAGCAGTGAGCAGGTCTGAAATGCAAAACCACCTATC